>NC_000002.12:152944163-153247193 GCF_000001405.40 Homo sapiens | reverse complement strand
GTTTCCCACTATTATTATGTGAGAATCTAAGTCTCTCTGTAGGTCTCTAAGAACTTTATGAATCTAGGTGCTTCTGTATTGGGTGCATATTATTTAGGATAGTTAGCTCTTGTTGCATTGATCCCTTTACTATTATGTAATGCTTTTTTTATTTTTTGATCTTTGTTGGTTTAAAGCCTGTTTTATCAGAGACTAGGATTGCAACCCCTGCTTTTTTTCTCTTTTCATTTGCTTGGTAAATATTCATCCATCCCTTTATTTTGAGCCTATGTATGTCTTTGCATGTGAGATGGGTCTCTTGAATACAGCACCGTGATGGGTCTTGACACTTTATCCAATTTAACAGCATGTGTCTTTTAATTGAGGTATTTAGCCCATTTGCATTTAAGGTTAACATTGTTATGTATGAATTTGATCCTTTCATCATGATGCCAGCTGGTTATTTTGCACATTAGTTGATGCAGTTTCTTTATGGTGTCATTGGTCTTTATATTTTGGGATGTTTTTGCAGTGGCTGGTGCCAGTTTTTCCTTTCCATATTTAGTGTTTTCTTCAGGAGCTCTTGTAAGCAGGGCTGGTGGTGACAAAATCCCTCAGCATTTGCTTGTTTGTAAAGTGTTTTACTTCTCCTTCACTTATGAAGCTTAGTTTGGCTGGATATGAAATTCTGGGTTGAAAATTGTTTTCTTTAAGAATGTTGAATATTAGCCCCCACTCTCTTCTTGCTTGTGGGTTTTCTGCAGAGAGATTCACTGTTAGTGTGATGGGCTTCCTTTGCAGGTGACCTGATCTTTCTCTCTGGCTGCCCTTAACAGTTTTTCGTTTGTTTCACCCTTTCAGAACCTGGTGACTATGTGTCTTGGGCTTGATCTCTTCGAGGACTATCTTAGTGGTGTTCTCTGTATTTTCTGAATTTGAATTTTGGCCTGTCTTGCTAGGTTGGGGAAGTTCTCCTGGATAATATCCTGAAGTATGTTTTTCAAGTTGATTCCATTCTCCCCGTCATTTTCAGGCATACCAATCCATCATAGGTTTAGTCTTTTCACATAGTCCCATATTTCTTGGAGGCTTTGTTCATTTTTTTTTTCCTTTTTTCTCCAATCTTGTCTTCACACTTTATTTCAGCAAAGTGATCATCAATTTCTGATATTCTTTCTTCTGCTTGATCAATTAAGCTATTGATACTTGTGTATGCTTTACGAAGTTCTTATTCTGTGTTTTTCAGCTCCATCAGGTCATTTATGTTGTTCTCTAAACTGTGTATTCTAGTTAGCATTTCCTGTAACCTTTTATCAAGATTCTTAGCCTGCTTGCATTGGGTTAGAACATGCTCCTTTAGCTCAGAAGAATTTGTTATTACCCACCTTCTGAAGCCTACTTCTGTCAATTCATCAATCTCATTCTCCATCCAGTTTTGTGCCCTTGCTGGAGAGGAGTTACAATCATTTGAAGAAGAAGAGGCATTCTGGTTTTTGGAATTTTCAGTGTTTTTGCACTGGTTTTTCCTCATCTTCATGGATTTATCCACCTTTGATCTTTGAGGCTGATAAACTTTGGATGGAGTTTGTGTGTGTTGGGAGGGGGGGAGGTCTTTTCTGTTGATATTGTTGTTGCTTTCTGTTTGTTAGTTTTTTTCGAACAGTCAGGCCCCTTTTCTTCAGGTCAGCTGCAGTTCGCTGAAGGTCCATTCCAGACACTGTTCACCTGGGTAATACCAGTGGAGGGTGCAGAACAGCAAAGATTGCTACCTGATCCTTCCTCTGAGAGCTTTGTGCCAGAGGGGCACCAGCCTGACGGCAGCCAGAGCTCTCCTGTATGAGGTGTCTGGCAACTCCTGTTGGGAGGCCTCTCCCAGTCAAGAGGCACAGGTGTCAGGGACCCATTGAGGAGGCAGTCTGTCCCTTAGCAAAGCTGGTGTGCTGTGCTGCGAGAATCCTCCTTGTCAGGATCAGCTGCTCTCTTCAGAGCTACCAGGCAAGAAAAATTAAGTCTGAGGAAGCTGTGCCCACAGCTGTCCCTTTCTGTCCCAGGTTCCCTGTCCCAGGAAGATGAGAGCTTTATCTGTAGGCCCCTGACTGGGGCTGCTGCATTTCCTTCAGAGATCCCCTGCGCAGTGAGGAGGAATCTAGAGAAGCAGTCTGGTCACAGCGGCTTTGCCACACAAATTCTGCCCACTTCAGACCTCTCAGTCTCCTTAGCACTGTCAGGGGAAAACAGCCTACTAAAGCCTCAGTAATGGTGGATGCCCATCCCCACACCAAGCTCAATCATCCCAGGTGGACTCCAGACTTCTGCTGGCAGTGAGAATTTCAAGCCAGTGGTTCTTAGCTTGCTGGGCTCCATGGGAGCAGGACCCACTGAATGAGACCACTTGACTCCCTGGCTTCAGCTCCCTTTCCAAGGCAGTGAACAGTTCTGTCTTGCTGGGGTTCCAGGTGTAGGATCACCACCAGGCACCTGGGTTTCAAGCACAAAACTGGGTGGCTGTTTGGGCAGGCACCAAGCTAGCTGCAAAGGTATTTTTTGTACCCAGTGGCACCTGGAACCCCAGTCCTGATCTCCAGACAAAAACCATGGGAAAAGCGTAGCATCTGGCCTTAGTTGCACAGTCCTTCATGGCTTCCCTTGGCTGGGGGAGGGAGCTCCTTGGACTTCCCAGGTGAAGTGACACCCCACCCTGCTTCTGCTCACACTCCGTGGGTTGTACCCACTGCCTAACCAGTACCAGTGAGATAAACTTGGTACCTCAGTTGGAAATGCAGAAATCACCCACCTTCTGCATTGGTCTCAATGGGAGCTGCAGACAAGAGCTGTTTCTATTTGGCCATCTTGGCCCCTCTTCAGAAACACAATTTATAATTTGATTTGGGGAAGTTTGTCAGATATCAAAGGTTTAAAACACTGGATACCACAAAATAGAATCCCAGGTCATCATAAGTCATTCATCTGAACAAAATGAGAACTCCAAAATGATAGAAAAGAAAAACCTTTACTCTGATAGAGGAGACAGCTTTCCAAACAAGACCCAATGTAGATAGCATGAGGCCAACTGAATCTGTCTCTTCTCGTTCCCTTCCCCCCAATTTTTGTGGAGTTTACTTTAAAAACAAACAAAAATCTTTCATTTTTTCTCAATAGTACATAAAAATAGTTTTCAAGAGGGAAAACCAAATTTCATGTTTGCATTAGTGCATCTTTAATAATAATGCTAGTTTTTAATAAAATTGTATAAATCTATCCAATTTTAATTCATTTGACCATATGTAAGATTTTCATAAATCTTTTAGAACCCTATACAATTTTCCATTAAACAGATCAATTTTCTAAGAAAACCCTGTTATTCAGGTACATGGGCTCAGATTCTCACCCTGCATCAGTGTGTTTTCATTTTAATGTTCAATGACTATGAAAAAAAAATGAAATAATCCCCTTCAAATCTTATCCAACTTGCTCATACCCACAGAACATGCTTTGCAAGATCAACCCTTCACAAGCCTTGCCTAAACCTTCAACTTTATTTTAAATCAGAGCAATCCTCTAACTTTCTAAACCAGGCAAAAACCACATTCCCATGCCTTCTTATAGTCTACTTGCAAAAACACATTCTGCTTCCTTTACACACGTTGTATGTTAAAACTGTTTCTCCAGTAGTCTGAATTACATGTTACAATGTTAACTCTTAGCAACTTTTATTTTTGATGAAAAATCTGATAAGTAAACAAGTTTAATTATATACCAGGTGTGGGGCCTAGAATATCAGACAGAAGTGTAGATAAGGTCTGACTGCTTTCAGCATAGCTAGGGGCAAGGTTAACTCCACATGTCCCCAGGCCATATCTAGAATCTAATGCTCCAAGGTAGGTAAAACAGATCCCTAGAATTAAGGGTGCCATTTTATACTGGATCCTGGATCCTGGATCCCCCAGAAGGAGGGAAATCCTATGGGAGAAGATAGTGCAGTCCTTCTACCATGCATTCCATTACAGGCAACCCAAAGCCAATCAGCCTATTTTGTAATCAGCCCATCACCCATTGGTGTCTCATCTCTCAGTGGAGGGTGGGGATGTGTGCATATCACCCAGGTGACCAAGAGCATGCTTCTCTGATCCAAGCATGTGAAGAGTCAAATATACCTCCACAACTGATATTAGCCATCCCTTAAAGTATATTTTCTACCTAGTTATTACACACCAAGACTGAAAACTCTCCCATAACGCAAAGTAATTTTCGATAATCCCAAAAGTCAAAACCATCAGCTAATGCAATGCAAAACAGAACAGAGCCTTAGATTTTGAGGGATTTATTTTCCTTCAATTCCTGGGGTTCCATGAGGAAAACATTTTTTCCCAGAATGGGGTCTGTGGTGCCCCCTCTGTTTTTCCCCAGGAGTCCCAGGCTGTTAATAATTATCTTAGGTTCTCCCATGTGGGCATCAACAGTGGCAAGAAGATAAAATGGAGAAAAACAATTCAGCTGACTGAGAAGAAACACTTTTTTCAGAAAAACATGATTCAACAGGAGGAAAAAAATTAAGTCCTTCTAAATACATATAGCTTGGATATCCATTTTTAATGAAGCACATTTTAACCATAGAGCTCTCTTTAAAAAATCTTCTAAAATCTCTTATTACCAGACTTCTAGCCAGGACAGTCAATATTTCTGCCTTTTGAATTCTATCAAAGGTAACTTCCCACATGAAATTAATAAGTTTTAACTAAGATTATGGCTTAACCATGGATGCATATGGTGTCTCAAAGAGATATAGTAAGCAGTTTCTTTCCTTCCCCTTTCCCTTCCTTTTCCTTTTCCTTTCTTTCTTTCTTTCTAGATTTGGAATCTCCTCAAGCATAGTTCAGAGAAAGGAAAATTCAAGACAGGAAATCAGAAGCTATCCATGATGGGTGTGGGTGGGAAGCTCAATAAATGGCAGTTACACAAATAATAAGCCAGAATAGAATCATTCCAGAAGCTGAGAATTAAACCTGGGCCACCATTACCAAAAGATAAAGGCTTAGCTACTGAGCTACACAGCATTGAGCAGTTTCTATTGCTTTTCCCAGAAATCTAGAGCAGCCAGTTTCAAGCTTGCAAAGGCTTTTAATTGTTCAAGATAATTTCTAGGGCTGACTATGACATGAGCCCCCAAATTGCTGTCCTCTGGATGGTGAAACCACGACAAGTATCCCCACATGGTCACAAGGTTAAGCTCTTAAGGACACAAAACAAGATGGAGAAATTTCATCTGGTATTGGTTTCAGGCACCCACAGCAAAGTTCATAACTGACCAGCCTGTCATGCTGGCTTGAAAAGCAGGCTTACAGGGATCCTAAACTCACATACTATTCTATGATACCCCTCTCCCCATTACAGAAAGACAAATTCTTTCTATAAGGGGGAGAGGGGTATCATAGAATAGAGTGCACCAGATTTGCTACAGCCTAAGACTAGTCTCACAAATCCTTTTTTCAATTAATCAGATACTTGCAGAAGAGACAAATAGTGACATTTACCACCTACACACACACACACATACACATACACACACAGAACTTGGCTTGTAAGAATTTTTTACACATTTTGCTGGTATACCAGGTTTCTGGGCTCCTTTTCTCTGCAGCTTCCAGGAAAATGGAGTAGCGTTTGAAGGACCCAGCTCACTGTGCCATAGCTATGGAGGTCAAGCCACCTTCAAAAAGAAAATCATCCTTTTCTGTTTTATGGAAACATAGGCAAAAGGTTCTCAATTTTGCAAGATACTGCCCAAAGCTGCATGGGGAACAAAATTAGCATTTTCCATCCCAGCCAAAGCAAAATGCACATAACAAAACAGACACTAGTCACCTTGTTTAGCACTCAGTACTGATGTGGCAAGTCTCAAACTTTCTCCCATTGGTCCCTGTTGGTTTTGATCCAACTGGTAATTCAGTGAGTGCTCTCTGGGCAAGACGAAGAGTGGATAGTCTCCCCTCGTCAGGCCTGCTGAGCTTTCTTTAGAGCTCACCGAATGTGATCAGACAAATAAGGAGGGTTTTCTGAGTTAGGCCTGCTGGACTTCCATCAGCAATTCCTTTTGAGATCCCCTCCACATATACAAACACACACAAAGACAAGACGGACAGAAGGCCTTCCAAATCAAGATCCCTAACCAAGAACTTTAAGAGTATCCCTTTCTAAGTATTCTCCTGTTCTTTGTCTGGAAATCTCCCTGAAATCTTTCTGATTGAGGAAAAGTCTCCTGAATCAAGACTCTTCCTACTAATTAGGGAGCGCCAACTGAAAACCCTGAAGGATCTGAACTAAGACAGACACCCCACCATGGGGCTACAGAAAACCCAAGATCCCCTAAGGACCCAAACCAATCAGGAGAAGAAAGAAGGCATTGGCAGCACCTAGGATACTCATTACAGACACCCTGTAATGGGGCTACAGCTACAGACACTCCATGACTGGACTACAGACAGATACCCTATGACCAGCCTACAGACAGACACAATGTGATAGGGCTGCAGTTACATAAACCTCGCCATGAAGCTACAGACAAACATCCTGTGATAGGGTTACAATTATGGGATGTCTCCCCAGGTCTATTTCTCTATTGCAATTAAATCCATGCACATTGGGTTGGCAGCACCTTGCCAGTACAGACAGTATCAGAGTGAGCCCCCAAGACCAACAGTACAAAGTGGATACTTCAACTGGCCTCTGATCTATCACCAGAGGCAGGGCTACTGAACCACAAGCAGGTAGCCACAAGAGCAATCCTGGATGAGCCCCAAATTTGTAACCACCCTATGGGTTCACCTTGCCCACTGCCTAGACAAAGCCAACTTATTAAGACAGGGAAATTGCAATACAGAAAGAGCAATTCACACAGAGCCAGCCATGTGAGAGACTGGAGTTTTATTATTACTCAAATCAGTCTAAAAAGTTGATTTAAAAAAAATAAACAAAATTGATTAATCTTTAGCCCACAGAACTAAGAAAAAAAGAGAGAAGATCCAAATAAAATCAGAGATGAAAGAGGAAACATTACAACTCACAAAACAGAAGTTTAAAGGACTATTAGAGGTTAAGATAAGCAACTATATGCCAACAAATTGGAAAAACCTAGAAGAAATGGATAAATGGTTGCTAGATAACCAACCTACCAAGATTGAACCAGGAAGAAGTCCAAAATCTGAACAGATCAGTAACAAGTAATGAGATTGGCGCTGTAACACAAAGTCTCCCTGTAAAGAAAAGCCACAGACCTGAAGGCTTCACTGCTGATATTTACTGAACATTTAAAAGAGAACTAATACCAAAACTACTCAAACTATTCTGAAAAATAGAGGCAATACTTCCAAACTCATTCTATGAGGCCAATATTAACCTGATACCAAACCAGGCAAAGACACATCAAAAAAAAAGAAAGCTGTAGGCCAATATTTTTGTTTAACACTTATGCAAAAATCCTCATAATACTAGCAAACTAAATTTAACAATACATTAAAAAGATTATTCATCATGACTAAGTGTGACTTATCCAAGGAATACAAGAATAGTTCAACATACACAAATCAATGTGATATGTCATATGAACAGAGTGAAGGATAAAAACCACAAGATTATTTCAACTGATGCTGAAAAAGCATTTGATAAAATTCAGCATCCCTTCATGTTAAAAACACTCAAAATACAAAGAATAGAAAGACCATACCTCCACGCAATAAAAGCCATTTGAAACAGACACATAGTATCACTGAATGGGCAAAAACTGAAAGCCTTTTCTCTAAGATCTGGAATAAGAAAACAATGCTCAGTTTTACCACTGTTATTCAATATTGCTGTGAAAGTCCTAGCTAAAGCAATCAGACTACAGAAAGAAATAAAGCACGTCCAAATTGGAAAGGAAGATGGCAAATTATTCTTGCCTGCAGATGATGGGTTCTTATGTTTGAAAAAAACTAAAAACGCCAACAAGAAATAAACATTAGAACTGATAAATTCAGTAAAGTTGCAATACACAAAATCACCATACTAAAATCTGTAGCATTTCTATATGCCAACAGTGAAAAATCTGAAAAAGAAATTAAGAAAGTAATCCCATTTACAATAACTACAAATAAAATAAAATACCTAGGAATAAAGTTGCCAAAGTGAAAGATTTCTACAAAGAAAACTATAAAACATTGAAGGTAATTGAACAGGACACTAAAAAAATGGAAAGATATTCCATGTGCAAGGATTGGAAGGATCAATATTGTTAAAATGTTCATACTAATCAAAGCAATCTGCAGATTCAACACAATCCCTGTCAAAATACCAATGAAATTCTTCACAGCAATAGAAAAAGCAATCTTAACATTTATATAGAATTACAAAAGACTCAGAATAGCCAAAAGCATTCTGAGCAAAATGAGCAAAACTGGAGGAATCACATCACCTGACTTCAAATTATACTGCAGAGCTATAGTAACCTATAGTAACCAAAACAGCATGATACTGGCATAAAAATGGACACATAGACTAATGGAGCAGAATAGAGAACCCACAGAGAAATCTACACACCTACAGTGAACTCATTTTCTACAAAGGTGCCAAGAGCAATACACTGGGGAAAAGACAGTCTCTTCAATAAATAATGCTGGGGAAACTGGATATCCACATGCGGAAGAATGAAACTAGACCCTTATCTCTTGCCATATATAAAACTCAAATCAAAATGGATTAAAGACTTAAATCTAAGACATCAAACTGTAAAACTCATAGAGAAAACACTGGGGAAACTGTCCAGGATACTGAACTAGGTGAAGATTCCTTCAGTAATACCCCACAAGCACAGGCAAACAAAGTGAAAATGGACAAATGGGATAACATCAAGTTAAAAAGCTTCTGCACAGCAAATAAATGATCAAAAAAGTGAAGAGAACCACCCACAGAATTAGAGAAAATATTTGTAAGCTACCCATCTGACAAAGGATTAATAGTCAGAATATATAAGGAGCTGAAACAATAAGAAAAAATTTAATAATCAGATTTAAAAATGAGCAAGAGACTTGAATAGATATTTCCCAAAAAGAAGACATGCAAATGGCAAACAGGTATATGAAAAGCTGCTCAATATCACTGATCATCAGAGGAATGCAAATCAAAACTACAATGAGACATCATCTCATCCCAGTTAAAATGGTTTTTTATCCAAAAAACAGGCAAAAACAAACTCTGGCAAGATTGTGCAGAAAAGGGAATTGTCATACACTGGTGGTGGGCATGTAAATTAGTACAATCACTATGGAGAACAGTTTTGAGTTTTCTCAAAAATTAAAAATAGAACTACCATATTATCCAGCAATCCCAATGCTAGGTATATATACCCAAAAGAAAAGAAATTATTATATCAAAGAGATACCTGCACCCCCATGTTTGTTGCAGCACTATTCTCAATAACCAAGATTTGGAATCAACCTATGTGGCTATTGACAGACAAATGGATAAAGAAAATATGGTACATATACACAGCAGAGTCCCATTTAGCCATTAAAAAAATGAGATTCTATCAATCATTTGCAACAACATGGATGGAAGTGGAGGTCATTATGTTAAGTGAAATAAGCCAGGCACATAAAGAAAACCTTTGCATGTTCTCAATTATTGGTAGGAGCTAAAAATTTAAAATAATCGAACTCATAGAGACAGACAGTAGGATGATGGTTACCAGAGGCTGAGAAGGGTAGTGGGGATGGCTAATGGGTACAAAAATATAGTCAGGTGGAATGAATAAGATCTAGTATTTGATAGCATAATAGGTGATTACAGGCAACAATAATTTATTGTATATTTTTAAATAACAAAAAGATGACTGGATTGTTTCTAACACAAAGAAAGAATAAATGCTTGAGGTGATGAATACCCCATTTACCCTGATGTAATTATTATACATTGTATGTCTGTATCAAATATCTCATGTACCCCATAAATATATATAGCTACTATGTACCCAAAAAAATTTTTAAGAGGAAAAACGTATTTTATTTGCTCATCCATAAGAAGCAACTCCTCATCAGTTCGAGTTTAACCATAAGATTACAGAAATTCAGTTACAACTTCAGGCTCCACTTCTAATTCTAGTTCTTTTGCTATTCCCACCACATCTGCAGTTACTTCCTCCATTGAAGTCTTGAAACTCCTGAAGTTTTCAATGAGTGTTGGAACTAACTTCTTCCAAAATCCTATTAATGGTGATATTTGACTCCTTGCCATGAATCACAAATCTTCTTAATGGCACCTAGAATGGTTAATCCTTTCCAGAAAGTTTTCAATTTACTTTGCTCAGGTACATCAGAGGAATTATACCTATAGCCTTATGAAATGTATTTCTTAAATAATAACACTTGAAAGTAATAATTACTCCTTGATTTATGGGCTGCAGAATGAACGTTGTGTTAGCAGACAAGAAACACATTGATCTCCTTGTGCATCTCCATCATAGCTCTTGGGTCACCAGGAACATTGTCAATGATCAATAATATTCTTAAAGGAATATTTTTTTTCTAAGCAGTAGGTCTCAACAGTCAGCTTAAAATATTCAGCAAACCATACTGTAAACATATATGCTGTCATACAGGCCTTGTTGCTCCATTCATAGAGCACATGCAAGGAGAATAGATTTAGCATAATTCTTAAGGGTCCTCGGATTTGGGGAATGGTAAATGAGTGTTGGTTTCAACTTATAGTCACCAGCTGCATTAGCCCCCAACAAGAAAGTCAGCTTGTCCTTTAAAGCTTTGAAGCCAGTCTCTGACTTCTCTTCTCTAGCTATGAAAGTCCTAGATGGCCTCTTTTTCCAATATAAAGCTGTTCCATCTACATTAAAAACCTGTTGTTTAGTGTAGCCACCTTCATCAATGATCTTAGCTAGATCTTCTGGATCTCTTGCTCCAGCTTCTATGTCAGCATTTGCTGCTTCACCTTGCACTTTTATGTTATGGAGACATTTTCTTTCCTTAACTTCATGAACCAACCTCTGTTAGCTTCAAACTTTTCTTCTGAAGGTTCCTCACTTCTCTCAGCCTTCAAAGAACTGAAGAGAGTTAAGGCCTTGTTCTAGATTAGGTTTTGGCTTAAGGGAATTTTGTGGCTGGTTTGATCTTCAGTCCAGACCACCAAAACTTCCTCCATATCAGCCATAAAATGACTTCACTTTCTGTCATTTATGTGCTCACTAAGGTAGCACCTTTAATTTTCTTCAGGATCTTTTCCTTTGCATTCACAACTTGACTGCTTGGCACAAGAGGCCTAGCTTTCAGTCTATCTCAGCTTTGAACATGCTTTTTCATTAAGTTTAATCATTTCCAGCTTGTGATTTAAGTGAGATATGTGTGCCTCTTCCTTTTACTTGAGTACTTATGAGGTTGGTTAGATAGGGTGGTCATAGCCTCCCTTAAAGGGGAATAAACTTGTTAAACAGATGAAGAGAACAAACCACCTGACAGTGCACAAACCACATCCTGGGTTCATGGTTAGACCATCCTTTAGCAAGGGGGTGGAAGAACAGAAGGGAAAATCCCCAGATTCACACAAGTGCAGAAATTCATGAGTAGTTACCTTGGGCTGACCTATGCTCACTATAATAGTAAAAAAGATGCCCCTGGGTGGAGATTTAAGATGCCAGTGAGGCATGCGATACATGTACTAGCATTTACAGCCACAGCACATGTGCTGCCAGCAGACCACCCAGAATATGCTTAATAGCAGCACTTCTTCCCACCCCTTCATGAAGAATCATGTAAGACTCCCATAAGGAGAGTTTCCCAAGTGTCAGTTGGTGCTGTCTCACCTTTGAGCATCCCACTTTGAGCAGCCATCAGAGTGTACTTTTGCTTTGTAATAAACTCTCTTGCTTACTTTTACTTTGGACTCACTCTCAAATTCTTTTGTGCAGCAAAGTCAAAAACCTGAACTGGGCCACTGAGTATACTTAGAGGACATTGTGGAGTTATTAATTGACCTCATTTCAATATTGTTATGTCTCAGAATAGGGTGGCCTGAGGAGAAGAAGAGACAGAGGGCAACTACCTGTTGTTGGTGGATCAGTCTAAACACACACATGTTTATTAATTCAGTTTCCCATACTACATGAGTCCAGCTCATGGTGCTCCAAGCAATTATGACAGTAACATCAGAGATCACTGATAACAGATCACCATAGCAGATATAATACTAACAAAAAGTTTGAAATATTGCTAAAATTACCAAAATGTGACCCAGAGACACAAAGCAAGCACATGCTGTTGAACAAATGCTACGAAGTACAATAAAATGGCATATGCCTGTAATTGAAATTTAGCCTTATATGCCTGGCTCAGACAATTATGAGATAGTCAGGATTATTTTGTGGTCCAGTGACCTTTCAAAATTAGATGTGAAGAGAGAAATAAGTGACCTCAGGACAATGTGCTGCATTCTAATCATAAAGCTCAGTAAGGTCCTCCTTAAGGAAATATGAGAGCACATGTAATACATGAGGCTCAGTAGACCCATGCTTTGGAGGCAGACAGATGAAAAAATATCCTTATGTAGATGATATTATGGTATTCCCTTGAGATGCTTACTAATGTAATTCTTGGGGATTTAAATTAGTCCCTGAGAAGAATTTCCACTGAAGAGCCTGCTAATAACATCATTGTGTCTATCTGCGGATCTCCATTGTTTTTTAGCCAGGCTACTCCAGTGACATGGCATTCTTCTCACACCCATAAAGGTGGGACCAGCTAGAGTACCAAACAGCTGCCCAGGATGCCACAGCCCTGCTCTCACTGATTGCCTTTCATATGACCTAAATCCTAAATTCAACTCTGCAGCCTAGTTTTGATCATTACTTCTGTGGCTTCCTCCCAACTCCCAAGATTTGGCCTTCATCCATACTCTTCTCATGTCTGTCTTTGTTAACTCAGGCCTGTTCTGCAGCTGGTGCCTATCTCCTGGGCTGGGCTTCAGGGTAGAGACCCAAATGCATGGAATGCAACCCCTTCTCAAATCAAGCAAACCAAATCCTAATGCTACATAAAGAGAAGGCAATTTAATCAATGACATCAAAATAGAGGTTTTCAAATTTGAGAATTCAGTAAACCCTTTTTAAAAGTGTTTATTTTCCTGAACCATGGCTTAAATTATGTGACTTAAATTGTACTACCATGAAATTAGTTATAAGCTTCTTTTATACATTTTTGTAACTATTCTTAAACATCTGTAGAACCCAACTAAATGTATACATTAAATAGAAACTACATACAAATATAATTCTAGTTAGCAAAATTAATATAATGTGGCAGTTAATGTTATTTTGCTGGAAATAAATTTCTGCCCTCCAAGGAAACACGGCATTGACTGCTTCTGGGCAGGTTCTCCTAAGACCTGCTACAAACCTAATGTCAGGTGATGATTCATTTCTGCCATCTTCTCTTTCAAATTAAGTTACTATGAAGCCTCATGCAGAGACTATTACATGGCATTTAGCCTTCATTTAATGTAAATATATTATTTGCCCCTAAGTCTGACTGCGTTCTTTTTACATTGGCTCATACATAAAAAGTAGTTTAGGAATTTAAGTAGTTCAGGAATAGTAGGTTTATATTAAAGTCATAATCCACATAATGCAATAGATAGATAAATAGATCATAGATCACAGATAAATAGACCATTGAACTACAAGCAGTTTTTTTTTTTAAAAATAAGGTATTATTATATTGAGAATAGCTCTAAAGGCACGAATGGGTCTGCAGGCTGAGAGCCTGTGAACTATCCTCTAGATAGATAGAGTTTTAGGCAGAAGTCCTACATATATGTGAATGTCTATAGGAATAAAAAATATTAACACAAGTAGAATCCTAAGAAGTATGGGATCTGTGGAAGGCTGGAGAGAATATGACCTGTGTAAAGGAAGCAATTGCCACTCACCACTGAAATATGGTGGCCATGTAAGAACCATGCCAACTTCTGATTTTGCAATAATTTTTATTTTTCAAGGAAGGCAAAATGATTTTAGACTTTAAAGTTTTAACGTGGAAGCTTCTAATTTTTAAATCTTATAAACTAATTCAAAAATATTTCACACTCTAAAAGCCAAACAAAAAGTGTATTTGTAGGCCAGATGTAGTGTGAGAGCCACGGTTTCTAATTTCTGATTAGTGCTGACTGTGTACCATCCAGAAACTATTCTACAGGTCAAGGGATACAGGTGACTTGTTGGAGTCACAAATGAAAGGCTTTTATAAGCATCTTTTTCAAAGAGACATAATGGATGGGAGCAGCCCTGGGATCCCAACCAGTAAAGGAGACCACTGTGAACTACAGCACTAAGCTGGTGAGAACTTGAGTTGAGAAGAGTCTCCTGGAGCCACTGGTTCAGAATGAGCCTCCTCAACATAGGGTAGCTGGCCAGTGCTGCCAAGAAAGACAATGTACTGTTGGTGTAGCAGATTAAGAGCGTTAAGTGGTAGAGCCACATTCCAAATATTGAGAATCTGTCAGCCAGTCCCCTCAGTTACTACCTTCAGGCCTTTCTCCAGCATCTCAGAATGAGTCACCAGTGAGCTGATGACTATGAGCATTGTCACTTTTCTATTATACAACTCACTGCAGAGATCAATGAATTTCCTTACAGGAGAGCAGATAGATTAAGATTCTCTGAAATTATAGCGAGGTCTTAAATTATAACTGGACTTTCACTGTGGTGAGTGTGTTCTAAAAGAAGAAGGCTATAAATAAAACAAGCAAACTCACTTTAGTAGCATTTCTACCAAAGAAATAATAGAAATGAAACACTTTCACCTAGAAGGTACCACATGACAATGACAATTAACCTCTCTCTTAGCAGGCTCCAAGAATTTATAAAATATCAGTGAATATATGGTTTTTAAATAGCTTGCTTTATGCAGATGTTAATTTAAGGTTTAGGTTTCCTGACCTTGCAACCCATTCTCAGTGCTATGCATGATGGATATCATTTTCTAAGTCTTCACCATGGATTATTTTACTAAAATCTATTCATTCCTGAACACATGAAAGTACTTATTTGTGTTGCATAGAAATTGATTTGAAAACAAAACAGAAACAAAACAGGTGCTCAACTTGAAAAGAAAGGTTAATGTTATTCTGACATCCTTCCTGAGCATTGACAAGGGTCAGTGCACGTTTTCACATTTCTTTTTCCAGCAGTTCAAAACCGCCACTCAGCACCACAAAAAATAAGAAGGCATATGCAATCGGGAGACAAGATCGTCTCCAAGGGTCAGGCCCTCAAGGATTACAAGTACAGATGCTGAAACCAATCTAATTTGACCACTAAATTAAACATCCCTTTCTTGGTGGGACCTCTGCTTAAAGAAGAGGTAAATTTTCCTTTTATCCCCAGCTAGGAAAAATATGCTGTTTTGAAATTCAAGAAAATCATAGCCAGATAAAAATGGCAATATTTAAATGTCTAAATAATCCTAATTATGAACCAGCTCTGTGGTTCCTTTGCTAAGAGAATAATAAATAAGAAAAAAATAAACGTAACAGCTGAAAAATTATGTGTTTTTGTCATTTATTCCACAAGATAAATTTTGAAAACCCTATTCTGTTAACTGAAGGATATCTATGCTGTTATGAGTATATACATTTAGGCTAGAATCCCAATAGTCTATTCTGATGTCTATTAAACTTTCTGTAAATTATATTAAGCTGTTTTATTATGCTCTTAAGAATAAGATGCAAAGGCAGTGCAAAATCTTTAAACAACATGACTTTGATCATGCTCAAATAAGAATCCTGTTCCATACTGACATCAGTATCATATCACTTTTCCATCTGTAAACTCTCCCCAGAAAAGGATAAATGTGAGAAACCAAGAAAGATGCAAACTCTCTACACTCTAGAGCTAATTTGCCTCTATTTTTTAAACTGAGTTCAAATTTCAAAATTCTCATTTGAAAACTCGAGACAATTGGTTTGGGGTGAGAGAAGAAACCTAATGCGTCTGCTGGCACCATTCCAGCCTGTATGTCATCGGCCTACATTCCTGGGAGTATCTCCATTAGCTAGAGGTGAAAAAGCTAAAACATAGTTAAAACCGATGAAGGAGCTTAGAGGGGAAGAAAAACACCCAACATGCAAAATAGTGGAGGAGCATTAATCGATATCTCCAGTCAGCCAC
Source organism: Homo sapiens (assembly GCF_000001405.40). Lineage (NCBI taxonomy): Eukaryota > Metazoa > Chordata > Mammalia > Primates > Hominidae > Homo > Homo sapiens. The sequence goes on along the minus strand of NC_000002.12, from coordinate 153,231,016 downwards.
TGGTTAAGACAATCAAGAAAAGCATCTCACCCATGTCCAAATCTAAAAGAAATTTTGATGAATATAAAGAAAATCAGTCAAGAAGATTTAAAAAGCTGGGGCTTTCCTCAGATAATTTAATAAGGTGGCAGCTTATCTTGTGGATTTCATAGTAATCACAAGTAATATTTGTGAAAAGTCTCCAAATTTAATTCCTGAAAGACCAAAAGCCTATGTCCTTCCTTCCTAAGGCCAGTGTCAAAAGGTGGAATAGAAGGGGAAAATAAAGAGGACATGAAAGCGGCCAGTAAACTTGCTGAAAGGATGAAGATATAGATTCTTAATTTTCAAAACTATTTCTAGATGTGTTCATATATATTTAAATTGTGAGTTGTAATCATTCCAGGGGGAAATGATTGCTCTACTGTAGTTCTGAGTATCTGACTGCTTTCTGTCAGCCATTGTGAGCAAAATAAAAGAAATTAAATTCATAACATCATGATGAATTATTTGGGGTTCCTCCATTTCAAAGCTAATAAAATTGTGGCTTCATGCCATTATTAAGTCAGCATCAGTCAGAGGCTGATTTAGGGCTGCAAGATACATCTTTTTGTCAGAAGAGAAGCTGTTTAAGAATGGTGTGCAGTGCAGGAAAATATTCAGCACTATTGTACTGAAAGTTAAAAATGCTATAATACTTTTATATTTCTCAGAATGTCAGACTGATCTAATCCAAAATGAGAGTCATATACAATATTCTTTGTCGCTCTATAAGAAAATTAGAAAAACATAAGAACAATTCTTCCCCAAATTCCAACGGAGTTCTTGACTTTACCATCTCTGTTCCCAAAATGGTACTAATCTTCCGCACAGAGGAATAAATGAGCAGGCCAGACAATTTATTGCTTAGGGTAGCCCCTCGCACATAGCCACCCAGCACACGCTCAGAGACTGCTAGAAAGAAAGGAGCAACATATGAATTAATTTGATCAAATATTTAATGCCTCTATCAAGTTTCTTAGAGTACAGAATCCAAAGCTTTCTAATAACCTCAGAAAACTGGAGCAAATGATTTTACTGGACATCTCAGTACCAAAGGTGCTGAGTGTATAAAACTCCATTAAGCCATTAACATTTGCTTTAGCCAATGTTCTCTGCTCTCTTCCCTGTAAGAGTGGCTCCTTCCTCTGCCATCCTATAAAACTGCTACAGTGCTTTTCTCTGTTGAATGACACAGTGACCTGTGAAACAGAGGAGAGGTTTAAAGACTTTCCAAGGAATTTAATTGCCAAGTGCTTTCTGTGAATATAGAAATTAGGAGGCACTATTTCATGACTGACCCTCACCAAATGCATGCTTTTCAGACCACTATCAAGTCATCAGCAGAAAGGAAAGTATATAGCAGTCTAGAAATTCTATTCATACTTGTAATAAAAGAACAACCAAAAATAGGCGATTAAATTAAGTGTATCCTGTATGGGCCCATTCTACCAACAATTTTAAAAGAAATCCAATTGGTTTCCTCTGAAAAATGGCAGATGATTGCCCCCAGATAAGTGGTCTGTAATTTACTTACACTTTACAAAAGGCTGCTGATTAAACACTATATAAAGAATTTACCCAGAAGGTTAATAAATATGGACTAAAGGATAAGATCCTTTGATATGATAGCAATAGCCTGGCTAAGGCACAGAGGGTAAGGAAGCAACTCAGCCTAGAGATGAGTGACTGGCCAAATGTCACAAGCTTCAATATTGGAACCAGTTTGCTTATTTACTTAACAGATTAAAGTCTTGAAGAAAAAAGGTGAGAGAGTGATGACATTTCTGGTATAAAGCTGGAAAATTCTCAAATTGAAGCTTCCATTCACACAGTGAGATGAAGCAGGATGAAAGCTATGTTTGCTAGTGTATGCCCCACCCATAATGGAAAACTGGATCTGCTGCCAGAAGCAAGAGCAGAACCAGAGCCTTGTAGAATTATCTCATTCACAGGGAAAAAATAGTTGATACTCTAGCTATCTTAGAGAGCCTTCAGCCTCCAGTTCCTTGTTTTTTGGTAAAAAACAAAGTTGGTCAAAGTAATTTTCTGTCCCAAACATGTAGATTTGGATACAAGGTAATCAATTACAAGCGGTATCTACTTTTTTTTTTTTTTTTTTTTTTTTTGAGACAGTCTCGCTCTGTCACCAGGGTGGAGTGCAGTGGTGCTATCTGGACTCACTGCAACCTCCGCCTCCCAGGTTCAAGTGATTCTCCTGCCTCAGCCTCCCTAGTAGCTAGGACTACAGGTGCACACCACCATGCCCAGCTAACTTTTGTACTTTTAGTAGAGACGGGGTTTCATCATGTTGGCCAGGATGGTCTCCATCTCTTGACCTGGTGATCCACCTGCCTCGGCCTCCCAAAGTGCTGGGATTACAGAGCCACTGTGCCCTGCCTCGTATCTACATTCTTAACATCTCTTCTCCAGAAAGATCTAGCATTGTTCAAAGAGTTTGTTTTCATTTTTCTGCCTCAATACAAAGAACTTAGAGATGGAATGAAATAATTGCAAGTCTAGATTGGATTTGAAAGCTAATAAAGATTGGTGCAACTGTGGCACTGATTTGTCTGTATCATTGTAATATATTGGTTCATTAAGGTGCCAAAAAAAATTAAATGCAGGCATTTCGAGTATTTTTTAAAAACAAGCAATATATGCTTTTGACATAGAAAAGTAATAGAATTTCATAGTTAGGAAGGATCTAAGATATGACTTTCTTCAATCCTCTTAATTTATGAGTCATGGAACTACAACCCTGAGTGTCACTCAGGGCCAAGCAGGACTTTAATAATCAGAGCACGGAATTCAGATTTTCTGACTCTTATCTTAAACATCTGTCTGCCACATGCATGCTTAACTTCTGTTTTCCTTTTGCATTACACCCTTCTACAACTCCAAGTACTACATCTTAAAGCTCAGTATTCTAACTTGCATCAGTATTTAAGAGCATTGTTAGTACTATACCAATCCATATCCAGATCCAACTTATAAGGAATAGAACAACTTGGGTCAATAGTTTCTGTTGTATATCTTATCATTTCTAGAAATGGCCTTAATTATATTCAGGTTATGTGTAGACACAAAACATTTTAAATTTCTCATATTTTGAATTTATTCTACATGAGCCAACAGAATGTGCTTTACTCCAGGATTCACTAATAATTCTGTCAAAGTATAATATGTAGAAAAATGGATCATCCAGAATTTTTTATTAACTTGTTTTAGCTGATATCCTCACAAAGCCAAGACTATCTTTCATCATAGCCTTTAAATCCTACTGAATTCCTAGAAAAATTAGAATATGAGTATGTCATCTAAAATGCAGCCAAGCGTATACTAAAATATAAGAGAAGTAGAAGGCTTTGCGATGCAGATTAGTTACTGTATTTAAGTGGGATTGAAGAAATTCGAGAAAATTTTTAAAAAAATAGCTATGGAGTTAAACCACGCCAACTCTCACCCACATTACCGTAATTCTTTGCCAACCCCTAGCATCAGCCTAGGAGATTGCTGTATATGATCTATTCATCTAAACCTACTGGTTCCTCTACCTCATCACCTCTAATGGTCTTCATCTCCACTCCAAGCTGATTTCCTAAAAAATTCTCCCACCCAAAATCTCAATTGACTTCCTTGCCCCTCTTTCTGCTACATTGGCCCTACAAATTTCCAGCCAGCACTCAGTCCTGCAATTTGCCAATGCTGCACTCATATTCATCGACCTGGAGGTCCTAGAGAATACTATATAATCACTGAGTCAATGCTATGACAGATTGGAGAATTATAATTTTAGTGACCCACTCAGATCTTCTTCATTCCCTCTGGCAAATTTCATTCTCATTCTGTTGATGTCTTTCCCAAAACATCCCCACTTGAATTAGCCCAACATTTTGACATTGTTTCCCATCACATGATGTGATCTCCTACTTCACAAAGAGAAATGAATTAGGCTAATCTGGCTTGAATTGCCCCACTCTCTCCTTCAAGAAAAAAATAAAGACCTCTGTTCATACTTATTTTTCTCCTGTTTTAGAGGATGAAGTGGCTATGGTCCTGCTCAACACCAACTCCCATCTCAGGATATTTTACTATTTCCACACCCAGTTTCCCCTATTATTCACATCTTTCATTAGCATGGTACATTTGTTACAATTAACCGAGCTGGATGCATTATGTTTAACGGAAGTCCATACTTCATTCACGTTTCTGTCATTTTTACCTAATGTTCTCTTTTGGTTTTAGTGCCATATCAGGATGCCACATTACATTTAGTCATCATGCCTCTTTAGACTTCTCCTGACTATAACAGTTTCTCAGATTTTTCTTGTTTTTGATAAGTTTGACAGTTTTGAAAAGTACTGGTAAGGTATTTTGTAGAATGCCCTTCAAATGGGATTTGTCTGATATTTTCCTCAAGATTAAAATGGGGCTTGGGGAAGAACCTCACAAGGTAAAGTACCATTTTCATTACATTATATCAAGAAGGCATACTGTCATCATTGATGATGTTAATCTTAATTACCTGACTCAGATAGTGTTTGTCAGATTCCTCCACTCTGAAGTGGAGAAAAAATTCTATACATTTTTTTTATCTTTCCATACTTTATTTTTGGAAGGAAGTCACCATGTATAACCTACATTTAAAGAACTGTGTGTATTCCAATCTGTTATTATTCAATATTCTATGTTGACTATTCTGTCTTTTGCTTTTCTGTATAAACTTTAGAATTAGTTTTCAGTATCTATAAAATTGCTTGCTGGAGCCAGGCGTGGTGGCTCACACCTGTAATCCCAGCACTTTGGGAGGCTGAGGTGGGTGGATCACGAGGTCAGGAGTTCGAGACCAGCCTGGCCAATATGGTGAAACCCCATCTCTACTATTACAAAAATTAGCTGAGCATGGTGGCACGTGCCTGTAGTCCCAGCTACTACTAAGGAGGCTGAAGCAGGAGAAGTGCTTGAACCTGGGAGGTGGAGGTTGCAGTGAGCCGAGATTGCACCACTGTACTCTAGCTGGGGCAACAGAGTGAGATGCTGTCTCAAAAAAAAAAAATTGCTTGCTGGAACATTGATCAGAATTGCATTGAATTTATAGAGCAAGATGAGAATTGACACGTTATGAATATTGAGTCCTCCTATCTGTGAACATGCAATACCATTCATTTAGATCTTTTATTTCTCTCATCAGTGTTTTAGAATTTTCCACACTTAAATCCTGTACATATTTTGTTTGATTTATACCCAAGAATTTTATTTTTAGGTGCTACTATTAATTTTTTTATTTTTAAATTTCAAATTATAATTGTTTATTGCTGACATATAATTAAGCAACAATTATATATTGGACTTCATCCTGTGACCTTGCTGTATTTATTTATTAGTTTCAGAGGTTTTTAACAGATGTTTTGGAATTTTTTTGTAGACAATCATGTCATCTGAAAATAAACTTTATTTCTTTCCAATCTATATATCTTTTATTTCTTTTTCTTGTCTTATTGCATTAGCTACTACCCATACTACAAGGGTGAATAGGAGTGGTGAGAGAGGAGGACAACCTTGCCTTGTTCCCAACATTAAGGCTAACTAACCAGTCTCTCAACATTAAATGCGATATTATCTGTAGGCATTTTATAGATGTTTTTATCAGGTTGTCCTTTATCTGCTTTATTCCTAGTTTGACAAGAGGCTTTTAAAAAAATTTTAAATCATAAATCAGTTTTAAATTTTGTAAAATACTTTTTCTGCATCCAATGGTATAATCATATGATTTTTCTTCTTTAATTTATTGATATGCAAGATTATATTGATTTTTGAAGCTTAACCCTCCTTGAATCTGTGAAATGAATATTAATTGGCCATGGTGTATAGTTCTTGTTACACATTGTTGGATTCGTCCTTCTAATATTTTGTTGAGGATTTTTACCTATATGTTCATGAGAGATATTGATCTGCAGTTTTTCTCTCTTGTAATATTTTTATCTGATTTGTAATATTTGTAATAGGGAATTCTGGTCTCATAGAATGAGTTAAGAAGCATTTCCTCTGCCTTCACTTACTGGAAAATAATATGGATCACTGATGTTACTTTTTGGAGCTTTGACTGTGAAGTCATCTTGGCATGGTGCCTTTTTTTGGAAAGGTTGTCATTAATTCAAAATATTTAATATGTAAAGGGCTACTCGTGCTATTTCTCCTTTTATAAATATCAGTAGTTTGCATATTTTAAGGAATTGCTTCATTTCATCTAAGTTATCAAATTGCGTGAAAAACAGTTTTCATAGTATCCTTTTATCATCCTTTAAACGTCTGCAGAATCTATAGTGATAACTCTTTCATCAGTTATATTGGTAATTTGTGTCTTCTCTCTCTTTCTTGCTTAGCCTTGTGAGGGCTTTATCAATTTTGTTGATTTTTACATAGAAATAGCTTTTGGCTTTATTTTCCCCATTGTTTTCCTGTTTTTAATTTTGTTGACATCTTCTCCAATTTTAAAAAAAATTCAACTTTTATTTTAGATTCAGGGGGTACATGGGCATGTTTTTTACCTGAGTATATTGTGTGATGCTGAGGTTTGAGGTACAAATGATCTTGTCATCCACTCAGTGAGCACAGTACCTGATAGGTAGTTTTTCAGCCCACAGCCTCCTCCCCACCCCCTTCCCCCCTTCTCTAGTAGTCTCTAGTAGTCCCCAGTGTCTATTGTTCCCATCTGTATGTCCTTGTGTCCTCAATGTTTAGCTCCTACTTAAAAGTGAGAACATGAGGTATTGGGTTTTCTGTTCCTGTATTTATTCACCTATGATAATGGCCTCCAGTTGCATCCAAGTTGCCCAATTTTTAAATTTCTCTTTTCCTGATTACTTTTGGCTTAAATTGCTCTTCTGTTTTCCTAAGGTGGAAGTCTAGGTTATTCATTTTGAATCTCTCTTTTAATACATTTACTTATGCTATACATTTCCCTTTAAGCACTGCTTTATGGTATTCTACATTTTTAGTTATTTATTTATTTATTTTTATTTTTTTGAGACAGAGTCTCACTCTGTCACCCAGGCTACAGTGCAGTGGCACGATCTTGGCTCGCTGCAACCTCTGCCTCCCAGGTTCAAGTGATTCTACTGCCTCAGCCTCCTGAGTAGCTGGGATTATAGGCAGGTGCCACCACACCTGGACAATTTTTGTAGTTTTTCTTTTTTTTTAGTAGAGGCGGGATTTCACCATGTTGGCCAGGTTGACCTCAAACTCCTGACCTCAAGTGATCCCCCAGCTTCAGCCTCCCAAAGTGCTGGGCAGGCATGAGCCACTGTGCCTGCCCATATGTGGCCATATCCCACAAATTTTGATGTTATGTTTTCACTAATATTTAGTTGAACATATTTTTTTAATTTCTTTTGAGCCTCCTTTGACTCACCTGTTCTTAGAACTGTTTTGTTTAATTTCCAGAGATTTCAAGATTTTCCAGTTTTTTAAAAATGTTCATTGTTCTCTAGTTTAATTGCATTGTGGTATCATAACATACTTCGTATGATTTCTATTCAAAATTGTATGGTATATATAATGTATTTTATAGCACAGAATTTATTGTGTCTTGGAGAATATTCTATGAGAGCCTGAGAAAAATTAATATTCTGCTATTGCCAGGCAGAAAATTCGATACTATTAATTAGATCAATTTGATTGATAGCTATTGTTCAGGTCATCTATATCCTTGTTTTCTGCCTGCTTGATCCAGCAATTACTGATAGAAGTGTGCTGAAGTCTCCAACTATAGTAGTGGATATGTCTGCCTGTTTCTCCTTTCAGTTCTCTCAGTTTCTGCCTCCTGTCCTTTTGATGCTCTGTTGTTAGATGCACACATATTTAAGATTGTTTTATCTTCTTGAATAATTTTTCTCGTTATCATCATTTAAATGACGGCAGCGGCGGCCCATCTGGAGAGGCCAGAGCTGCAGCAGGGAAGGCGCAGCTGGCGCACTCCACTGAGCCAGCAGGCCGGGAACAGGCGGAAGTCACACCCCCCTCACCGAGTCAGGGGGCAGGAGGAGCCTCTCACTTCCGCGCGCAGCTGCAGTTTCCCAGCCGCCTCTCTGGACCCAGGCATCCCTGCGCTCTCAGTGGCCCAGGAAACCCCCAAACCCCTATGGGCTTGGAAGTGCCTGCTTCTGCTCCCTGGCCTCTCTCCACTCCCAGCACCCACTTCAGGCAGAGCAAAGTTGTGGCTGAGCCGGGACACTGTCACAGCCCGGGTATGCGCAAGTTCCGGGCAGCGCTGACACACCAGCCGCCTGCCACCTCAGCCCCCTCTGGATTTTGGGTGCTGACAATCTCGGGAGGGAGGCCAGTGACCTGAGGGCAGCTCAGTGTGAGCCTGCAGGTGTCCCTCGGCAGGAACAGCCTGGGCGCAGTGGACCATGGATGACATGTTGATGGTGGCAAGAGGCAGACAGCCTGCTGGGCAGAAAGGGGTGGGTCCTCAGTGAAGTCCCATCTTCAAGCCAGGGATGGCCTGAAGCCTGGGGGCTGGGCTGTCAGCTCCTGGTGGAATCTGAGGCTGCCGGGAGTGAGAACTTAAGGTGCTTTCTCCAGGCCCGGCCATGGCCACCCATGGACCAATCAGCAAGTACTTCCTCCCTTCTAAGCCTATAAGCCCAACCCCCCCCCCCACCCCACCCCCCCCCCCCCCCCCCCAGCCAGACTCATACAGAAGTCGGGAAAACCTGCCTGCGGAAATGAGCTACACACTGTGGGTCTCCTCTCCACTAAGAGCTGGACACTCCTCAGGATGACCTGCCTGAGGAAAGGAGCTACCCACTTCAGGCCTCCTGAGAGCTGTTCTGTCACTCAAAACTCCTCTCTGCCTGGCTCACCCTCCAGTTGTCCGCATACCTCATTTTTCCTGGGTGTGGGACAAGAACTTGGGACTTGCTGAATGGCTGGACTGAAAGAGCTGTAACACAAACAGGGCTGAAACACGCCTCCCCATCCCCTGCTCACCACCTTGGGGGAATAAGGAGAGAAGAGCTGTGGCTCTTCAGGGAGCCCAGACCTAGGGGCTCCCCAAGACAGGGCTGTGACAACTTCTTTGGGGCTTTGCGGTTTCTGGTGTCTCAAAGCTTCAGGGTGCCACTGCATTCCCTTCATCCAGATGCAGGTGCCCACAGCAGAAGCCGCTTGTGGTGCATCTGATCCAGCCGCAGGCTTGCACGGAGCCAGTGCCTGGAGCTGCCCGCCCTGTCACAGTAGCTGGTGTGCCTGGCTGTGCGCAGTGGCTGGACTCCATTCTCGCTGGCCCCACACATCCTTCACTGCTCTGCGCCTGGCTCACCCTTGGCAGGCGGGGGATCCAGGCCAGTAGTGAGAACCAAGGGCAGCCTGCCTGGCTGAGTGGGCAGAATGAGCCAAGCAGGCCCGAGCAAAACTCCGGCAAAGGCACCCACAGCCACAGAGGTTTCCAGCTGGAAAAGCAACACTTGAAGAATCCTGTGACATAATCACCCTCTGTATCCATGATAATCTTTATTGTCCTGAAGGCTGTTTTGTCTAGAATTAAGCAGACCAACTCTCTTTTGATTAGTGCTATCATGATGTATTTTTTTCCATCACTTTACTTTTAACCTGAGTGTTTAAAGTGGTTTAGACGACATAGATTTGGGTGTTTCTTTAAACCATACTGACAACATCGATTTGGGTGTGTACGTATGCATGTATGTATTTTGAGACAGAGTCTCTCCCTGTCGCCCAGACTGGAGTGCAGTGGCGCAATCTCGGCTCACAGCAACCTCCGCCTCCCGGGTTCAAGCAGATTTGGGTGTTTTTTAAGCCATACTGACAATGTCTTTTCTGTTTCAGCTTTTAAGTTCAGGGGTACGTGTGCAGGATGTGCAGGTTTGTTACATAGGTAAATGTGTGTCATGGGAGTTGGTTGTACAGATTATTTCATCACCCAGGTATTAAGCAGAGGACTTATTAGTTACATTTCCTGCTCCTCTCCTTCCTCTTGATCTCCACCTTCCAACAGGCTCCAGTTTGTGATGTTTCCCTCTATGTGTCCATGTATTCTTATCGTTTAGCTCCTACTTATAAGTGAGGACAGTGTCTTTTAATTGGTATATTTAGACCACTCCCATTTAAAATGATCATTGATATAGCTGGATTAATATCTACTATGTTTGATATTGTTTTCTATTTATTATTTTTTCTCTTTTCTGCTGTCTCTGTTTAATTGAACAGTTTATATAATTCTATTTAATCTCTTCTCTTAGCCTATGTGCAGGAGTGGGAGTTTATGAAAAAGCTTTAGAGCAGGAATGAAAGAAAGGAAAGTACACTTGGAAGAGGCCCAAGTTGGTGTCTTGCAGGTCAAGTGCCCCGTCTGACCTTGAACCTAGGATTATATATGCTGGCCTGCTTCCAGCATCTTGCACCCCTTTCCTTTTATTCTTCCCTTAGGGTAAGCCACCCACATGCACAGTGCCTGCCAGCACCAGAGGTGAGCATGCGCAGTGTGTTTACTGAAGTTGTATACAAGCTCACCTGAGGCTTTCTTCCCCTTTCCAATGGAATGGCCCCAGAAGGTCATACTTCACCATTTTGCCTCTTAATGCACATGCTCCAGCCCACTTGCCCAATTCCTGAAAGCTGCCGATTACCAGTTCTAGGTGTATTTATCTGTTGGGAAACTGCCTCTCCCTGGCCTTGGCTGTGACCAATTATTATTTTAGAGTGTCACACAATGTGACAACTGCCTGACCATCACCTGATGGTCACCTGACATTCCTGGTGGGTGGAGAGAGCCCTCTCCTGCCCCACTCATACCTTACTAGCCACCTACTGTGACATAGCCAATCTTTGTTTAGTGCCCACTACCTGGCTAACACTGGCTTAAAGCTTTGTTAATATGTAGCCTAGGACCTAACTTGATAGTTTGATCATCAAAAGCTGAAAGAGCCAATATTATTACTTTTATCTCAGAGTCAAGAAAAGCGAGGATGAAGGGGAGTAAGTGACTTTCCCAAGTTTTTACATAAAACTAGTGTTAGAACAGAGACCAGGCTCAAGGCATGTACATTTTAGAGCAGCACCTTAACAATTGCACTAAATATTTTTACTCTTATGTAAAGAAGATACGACATTCTACATTTTTCTCCCAGATTCAGCAATAACTCAGCTTTGAGCACTCTGAAGCAGAAAAGGATGAAATTTCCCACACTGATATGTCTTAAAACCAATTTGTTATCTGGAGCTTTCTACATCAGCTAAAAAGGTTCAGATGAAAAATGATCATGTGTGATAACTAGTTGTCCTCATAAATTTTTACCAGTTCTAAACTGCATCTTACCTATAGTAGATACTAAATTGTACACTATAAAAATGAGTGGATAACTTGGTCTTCAGATGCCAAATATCAACACAGTCTGAAGTGGTATAAAATTGGAAAATTGGTACTTATTTAGCTCAGCACTTAAATCACCTGCAGTGCAGAAGAGGCAATTCTAAAATCCTTGAGACAGCTGCTCTTCTGGGAAATAATGGATTAAGTCATGAGTTGTTTTCTCTGTATTGGTGATCATAAAACCCTTGATACATCAAGAAATGCTTTATAGATCTGCCATGAAGTGAGAAAAATAGTCTAGACTTCAAATGGAAGTTTCCTATTTTCTGTCCATGAACCAGAGAACATTTGACTCACAGGGAGGTTACATTGTTTCACCAAAAACATCTTATTCAAAACTCTAAGTTTTCATTTGTGCTTACAATTCTACCATCTTAGGCCCTCTAGCTTTCTGCTAGTTTTCTGAAGAAAATTCAGAGAACATGACTAAATTGGTAAGGAATAAATTCCCTGATGAATTGGATGCTTTGAGGCATACAGTCTATTAATTATCTTACTGGGTGGCCATCCCCAAGAGGAACATTTAGATGAAGTCTGATTGAAAGTGCAACTATTCTGTTTCATATATATATACATTGAAATTGAGACATACTTATGGTTTTTACTTGTAATGTAGTTAGTTGTGAAACATGTCACTACCTTCTTAAAACAGCAACAAAAGCCAGAGAAACTTCAAATTTTATACTTTTTTGAACCAATCAGAGAACTAGGGTCACAAGTCAACCAACTAGTCCAAAATCTAAGGAGAAAAAGACAAAACATGACCACTTTCTTACCAAGGGCAGATGCTGCCGGAGGAAGACTAAGTGAATTCAGCTTTAATTGTTAACAAATTGATAAAAGTCAATGTGGGCTAGAGAAAAGTGTGGATCCCCTGGGGAAGGAGAAAAACAAAAAGTTTACAACTACTTATAAGCTCTTCTTCATGGACCTCACCAAGTGCTCCAAATCGAAAAACAACAACAAAGACAACAAAACACCTAGGTGAGTTCAAAGAGAACATTCCCCATAGTTCAGGCCTGGAAGAGGGGTACATGAGCCACTGTGGGAAGAGCACAGATATCCTTCTTCCCTATCACCCAGAAGGAACCATAGCCTTGGGATGGGAAGGAAGGACAAATACTGTGGCTCTTAGGGCACTGGTAAAAACTAATTCTGTCTGGAGAAAAAAATAGGAAAAACCTCTTAACGACTAAGAGGAAGGGCAGAAATACATGCTGGGCTAAAAATAACCAGAAAAGGATCAGAAACACTAAGGATTAAGTTATAATCCTGAGAGCCAGGGTAATATTGTCTGCTTAAACTAAAGCTTCATCAGAACAACAGAGAATTTCTCCCACATTCACACCAACAGGAAGACAAGTAATGAATAAGAAGCAACAGTAGAATATTTCTGGAAGAGGAATAGAAGAGAGACAAGACAGCAGAGAAGAAGTTATCTAAGACAAAGCTGATAGGGAAGACTCAAGGCTGAGGATGGAACAGATATTGAGAAAACCTGGCTCCCATCCTAAACACAAAATATACCAAGAGGAATTTGAAGCCTATGATTCTATCAAGGTATCCATCAATAACAAATCCAAAACCAGCTCAACTCCAGACTAGATTGGCTCAAATCCCCACACTAAAGACTTAGCAGAAGGAAAGACATGTCCATCTGCAGGCATAAAACTATTCACCTTAGTGTCTCTTGCCATATATAATAAAAATGAAAATGAAGCTTTAAAAATAAAAATAATGAGGCATATGAAAAATCAAGAAATATACACAATGTGAAAAGGTATTAAACAGGATCAGACTTAGGTATAACACAGATATTGGAAATATATCTAGCTAAATTTAAAGTTAAAATAACTAAAGATTTAAGAGAAACAGGGGGAAACATGTAGGGTAAGAAGGATAACTTCAGAGCTGAAGATCATAAGAAATAATTAACGGAAATGCTAGAAATAAAAATCACAGTAAGAGGAATGAAGAATGCCTATGATGAGCTCATTTCTAGACTTGAAAAAACTGAGGAAAACAGTAGTGACCTTAAAGATAGGTCAATAGAAATGACATGGAATAAACCACAAAGAAAGTAAAAATAAATAAAATAAAACAGCATCCAGGAGCTTTGGGACACTATCAAACCATCTAACATGCACATAATGAAATCACAGAAGAAGTAAGAATGAGAACAAGGTAGAATCCTTGGAAAACAATAATAGACTAGAAGTTTTCAAAATTAATGACACACAACAAACCATATATTCAAGAAGGTCAGGGAATATCAAAAAGAGTCATGGCAAGTTTATGATAAATGCATATGTAAATTCAAAACCCAGAAGTAGTCAAAACACTTGGAAAAAGATGAAGAATGTTGGAGAGGAAACAATGTCTGATACCAGGTTTTGTTACAAAGATAGACTACTTAATACAACAAATAAAAATAGACAAACAGATCAATGAAACAAAAGAGACTCCAGAAATATACACATGTATATAAAAACAATGAACTTTGGTACAAGGTACAAAGATAATTCAATGGAAAAAGATAGTCTCTTCAACAAATGTTGCTGAAACAATTGGCTATTCATATGCACAAAAAAGAGAGGAAAAAATATGCAACCTCTACTTCACTCCATATATAAAAATTAACTCAAATGGATCATAGAACTAAATGTAAAACCTAAAACTATAAGATTTCTATAAGAAAATTTAAGGAAAAAATAATTGTGATCTTGGATCAGGCAAAATTTTCTTAGATATTACACCAAAACATGACCAACAAAAGAAAAAAATTGATAAATTGAACATTTAAAATTAAAACCTTTTTTCCATGAAAGACATACTAGGAGAATTTTTTAAAAATAAGCCAGAGACTTGGAAAAATATTTACAAATCAAAAACCTTACAAGAGATTTTTATCTAGAATATGTAAAGAACTCTCAAACACAATAGGAAAACAAAAATCCAATATTAAAATGATGCAATTATTTGGACATTTCACTGAAGAGGACATGCAGGTGACAAGCTCATGAAAATATGTCCAACATCATTAGTCATTAGGGAAATGCAAATTACAGGCACAATGAGATACTACTGTACACCTATTGGAATGGTTAAAAAAATGTTTACAAAAGACACCACCACATGCTGATGAGGATGCAGAGCAACTAGAAGTCACAAATACTGGCTGATTAGGAATATAAAATAGTATAGCCACTTTGGGAGACTGTTTGGTGGCTTGTTATACAATAACCATATACTACTTATGACCCAGCAATCCTACTCATAGGTATTTACTCATGAGAAACAAAAACTTATGTTCTCACAAAAACCTGTATAGAAATGTTTATAGCAGCTTTTACTCATAATCATTAAAACCTGAAACAACTGGAAAATGGATAAACAAACTGGAATGTTGCTACAATACAATATTACTCATTGATACAAAAGTAATGAAATATTGATTCACACAACAATATTGGTGAATCTCAATGGACTTTGTTCATTGAAAGAGGTCCAACCAAAGTACATATTGTATCATTCCACTTCTTTAACATTCTGGAAAAGACAGAACTAGATGGATAGAAACAGATTTGCAGTTACCATGGGTTGGAGTGGAAATGAGTGCTAACATCAAGGGGGCAGTCTGAAAAATATGGGGAGTTGATGGAACTCTTCCATATTATGACTGTTGTGTAAATACAGGACCCTAAGCATTTGTCAAAATCTATACAACTGTATACTACAAAGTGTGGATTTTACTGTTACATAAATTTAAAAATAAATTTTAAAATATACTGATAGTGAACTAGTTAAAGTACCTTTTAAAGGCCCAGAGAATGAAAAAAAAAATGCTAGAAAGATTAAGTTTGAATTTCCTTCTAATGGAAAGGCAAGACACATAGAAATTCACACCAACAGAAAATTAAATATCCAAAGAAACTGCATGATATAATGGACAGAATACTAGAGAAAGCATCAGAAGATTCATTCTTAATTCTGAACCCGCATCCCCTTCTTTTGTGTCCTTGGAAAGGCCACTTGGCCCTCTCAGTTTCATCCACGATCAAGTAAGTTGTTCACATTTTATAAGGGAGCAATATGGATTTTGCAGTTAGACAAATAGATCTCATTTTAAATCCTCTCACCTTCGATTTTATGTTAGATGGTGTTGAGCAAGTTATAAAACTTCACAGTACCCCAGTTTTATCTATAAAATGGCAATAAAAATGCTAATGTGTAAATTGTTTTATGTTGGATAATGCACTGTATTGTGAGGCTGTGTGGAAATAGACAGCTTCTTACATTTAATTGCATATTAAAAAATCTCTGGCGGATGACAGGAAACTAATTACAGTGACTACTTCTTTAGGGGTTGAGAACAATGAGAATTTAGTGGGAAAGAGCAAGAAGCTGGAGGGGGACTTTTTACTATGTATTTCTGAAAATGTCTGGTACAAATTATATGAATCAATTAATTATCTAAAATGCAAATAAATAAACTTTAAATAGTTAAGATATGAAGAACCCATACCAAGACCTGGCATTAAGACATTCCAGAGGAAGTAGTGATGGTGAGTATCGTCATAATAAAGCTGGTCTAAGAAAGATTCAAGGGGATTCAAACTCATTCTAATGTGTAAACACTACCACAAAAGATCATCTTAGCTTAGTTTTGTTGGTGGATACTGTTTGGATACCCAAGAGTTTTTAGGTGATTTTCAAAGATATTTATAAATCAAGATTTCTCCAATAGAACATCCCTGTAAACTAGACATTTTACTCTCAGTTTTCCTAGTGACTTATTTTTCTAATAAAGTATGCAGATTACTTATTTTTTTATTAAATGTTTTTCACAGTCGACTTCTAAGTCCTATTCTTAAATTATCAAACTGTGTTAGTCTAAGTATTAAAATGTTGGCCTTGCTATTTAAAGTCTTCAGTAAATGTTTAAGTCCCAGTTACTTGAAAAATGAAACCAACTTCATTATAACTATTAAAAGAGAACATTGCAGCGTGTGGCCTAAGACATAACACAGCACATGGTTGTTTAATGTAGCATGCTGTAATTGCTTGTGACAACATGCTTCCATGTATCAATGGCATGCAATCTGTTTTTCACAGCACTTGATTTTATAGAGAGTGGGTACAGTTATGCAAAAAGAATTATGATGATGGGATATCTAGCTTCTTATTACCTCCTGGCAAACTCTCCTTTTTCTATTTCAAGTTGTTATTGAGTCATCATAAAGTGCTTCTATACAGAAGGACTATATATTGTATTGCTATTCATCAGCTATGGTCAGCTGTCCTAACAAGGCAAATGTTTCATTGGCTTATCTCTATCAATATATAGTTTTTCCTTTGAGTCTACCATTGCTGAGGAAATTCAAGGGTATTGTACGCTGTGGGGCATTTCATTACCCAGGGCCCTCTCCAACATTTTGCAAAATTCTTGAAGTAGATAAACCATTATTTTAAAATATTTTAAAACCTTTTATACCTTCAACTTTTGCTGAATAATACAGAAAAAATAAAGTTAACAACAAATTTTTTAGCATACCTAATAAGATATAGTGGCCTTCTCTTACTAGAAAACAGGTACATTCCTTTTGTCTAACATCGGGGTTGCATAAGAATGGCTCTGGTTCCCTCCCTTGAAAGACAAGCTGAGTTATGTTCAGCACAGGGTTGTATATTCTTCTCTTTTTCCTTATTTGTAAGCACTAATGCTCCTAATGAATACCAGTTCTCATTAGCTTCTTAATACTTTCATTATATCAGCCAGTGAATGCCCTACAATTTGTCATATATTTACTTCCTGTCATCCTCAGAAAAATCCATGAAGATAGATATAGTGTCCATTTTAGAGATGAAGGAATGGAGGCTCAGAGAACTAAAAAAAACTGACTGAAATCAGATGGCTGTTAATAACAGAGCTGGGACTGGAGCGTCCATTTGTGTGATTTCCCAAAGAAGCTCTTTCCAATATATTAGGTTTCCTCCCATCAAGACCAAGGCACAGTATTTGTATCTTTCCCCTTTTCTTATCCCTTACAGCATCTGGTGTAATAAGTACATAACACTGACAGACAATTCTTCATGGTATTTCTGTACATCCTTCCACTGTCTTCCCAATGATGTTTGTACAGCAAACAACCTTGGAAGGTATAGTGTCTCCCCTTCCGAGGCAGAGGGCAATTTGTTTTCTGATCAGAATAAAGATCAAGTCTCCCCACAGAGCAAAGGTTGGACAGGTTTAGCAAGCAGGCTCTTCATGAGATTGACAGATTCCTAAGTTCAGTGATCTTCAGCTATGACACAAACCCATTGTGTGTGCATCATCCACCTGGGTCATTCCACAACCCCCATGGGACTTGATGGGAGATGATGGGGTGGAAGGAAACTGAACCAATGCAAACATAAAGCCCATGCTCCCTGCAGTGCTGAGTAATAAAGTTCCAGGGTTCTTATGTGGCAGACTAACTTGTTAGCTTGCAAATAGGGCAAAATCAAAGACCTTCACAGTTCTTGACCATAGTAGGTACTCGATACACACCTGTTGACTTTTTAGAGTACATTTCATTAGGCAGTGTTCAAATACTTTGCAATTTAGTGACCCCTGGATGTGTAAGACTCTTTGCTATGAATAACATTTCACTAATGAATAATTTGTTCAGACAGAAAAATCTAGTTTCTAATACACAGCAACATAACTTGAAATAACCCACTGAGTAGTCCCACAAATGCCTTATCTCTTTTACAATGCCAAAGAGTAATTTCTATCTAAATAAATAAATGAATAAAATCCATTTTCTATTCTGAGCAGCCAGACTGCTGTGTAAACTAATTTTGGTTATCAGATTAATAATAAAAAGAATCCTTGATTCCCACCATAGAAAGCCAAGGAGATTGGATTTCAGATTCTATTTTGTTTAATTATGAAAAGACAGCATACAATTTTTCACTTAAAAATAGCATTTTCTAGCATCCTTTCAAATCTATTATTTGCCTAGTAAAAGTCCTAGGATCAGGTAAGTCACAAGTAGCCTGTCATTCTTTTTAGGTAATTTAAACTGCAAATACCCACAAGAATGAATCATCCTCTATTTCTTTTTCTCTCAGAATATCTTTCTAAATTAGAAGGCTGTGATCTTCAAGCTCCTTTGACTTAATTGATAAGTATAATGATGCAATGTGCACAATAGGAAGAACACACTGTTCTTTAGAACACAATGTAGAATAATTAAAGAATTAGACAACACTGGTAAAGTCAACCAAGCTGTGACGGAGGAGAAATAAAATCACGAAGCTGGCATTAGAGGATTTTACTATTGTTCATCTTCTCCTTTCTAGATTAGATTTTGAACTATTAGCTTATTTGTAAATTCTACTGGACTTATAATTTGAAGAGAAACAGCAAAGGATATGTACCTAGAAAAAAAAACAAGCCTATTAAATATTGGCAAGTTTTCAAATATTTGGGAGGGATTTGACAGTAGGATGTGCTGGTCTTAGGAAAAGTACACTGTAAACACAGCACCTTGAGTTCTGAATCTCATTTTGAAGCAAATTTCTCTATGCTTCTGTAAATTCTGCTTTTTTTTCTAAGCATCACTTTATGCAGATGGCATAAGTGAGGAAAATTTTTAAAAAAGGGGAATCATGTTTTTGAGCATGCTACCTGCTACAAGTAACTGTGTCTTTCTCTGCAGTTCAGACTGCATCTAACAACACAAGGTGTTTAACTCAGAAGAGAGAACCAGCTCTCTTCTAAATGTTCATGTTGGACTCTTAGTGTTTCCAATCACCTCATACCCTGATGACTATATACTCAGCTAGTGCTTCCCAAGCTTTAGTGAACACCAGTATTACCAGCTTGTCAAAACACAGATTTCTCCTCTTTCCAGGCATAAATTTGCATCACTAACATCTAGGTGATGTTGATACTGCTGATTCTTAGACACCCACATTTAAGCATCACTAGGATCCATCAGGCAAGAGTGCAGTGGAAAGTTTACCAAACTTTGATGCTGTTAGCTTCTACTGTTCCCGTCTCATGAAAATTAATGTTAAGATAAAAATAAACATGGTTGCTTTTCTGCTACCTTAGCATTATGATAGCCATAGAAAAAAATGTTGCATTTTAGAAATGTTTAAAAGGTTTGTCGGCTGGGTGCGGTGGCTCACACCTGTAATCCTAGCACTTTGGGAAGCCAAGATGGGTGGATTGCCTGAGTGCAGGAGCTCGAGACTATCCTGGCCAACATGTTGAAACTCTACCTCTACTAAAATACAAAAAATTAGTTGGGCATGGTGGTGCATGCCTGTAGTCTCAGCTGCTTGGGAGGCTGAGGCAGGAGAATTGCTTGAACCCGGGAGGCTGAGCTTGCAGTGAGCCGAGATCATGCCACTACACTCCAGCCTGGGTGGGTGACAAAGCAAGACTCTGTCTCAACAACAACAACAAAAAAAAAAGGTTTGTCAATGTTAGAATTCTAAGAGCTATACTAAATGTATTTCTTATCTCTAAAATTTTATTAAAATCAAAATAATTTTGTAGTAAATTGCCACATAATTGGGTATAAATGTGTTATGTCCAGTCTTCTCTGAGATGCTCTATATAAAACTATTTTCTGTACAGCATAGGTTCAAAATATGATGGTTATGTCACTATAATTATTACTATTATATTGTTACCAGTAACTAATACTTCCCAAGCATCTACTGAGGATCAAAGGCCAGGCTGAGTGTTTTCCCAAGTACAACATAATACCATGTTATTAAATATTATAATGGAAGAAATAGAAACCTTAATATTTAATTTTTAAATTTTGGCCACAATTATGCAGTCTAAAATTGCCAACTAAACTTGCAGAACTCTACTTTATTTAGCTGTATGTAGACACAACCTTTGAAAATGTATTACATTCCAATTTCATTTTGTTAGGCCAGCATTATCCAAATACCAAAACCAGACAAGAACTTTATGCACAAAAAAATTACCGACCAAGTTTATGTGTGACGAATGTAGGTACAAAAATCTTTAACAAAACATTAGCAAATCAAATCTAGCAATACATAAAATGAATAAAATATCATGATCCACTAGTGTTTATCCTAAGAATACAAGGTCGGTTCAAAATTTAATAATCAATTAATGTAATTCACTGTGACAATAGACTAAAAAAATAAAACTCTGTATATGGTCATCTCAGTTGATGCAGAAAATGCATTTGACCAAATTTAACACCTATTCATGATGAAAATTCTCAGTGAACTAGAAACTAAAAGGAATTTCCTCTACTTAATAAAGGGTATCTATAAAATACATAAAACTAATATCATTCTTAAGACTGGAAGCAAAGCAAGAAGGTCCTCTCTTACTACTTCTATTCACCATTGTACCAGAGGTCCTAAACTAAGCCATAAAGAAAGAAGAAATAAAAGGCATACAGACTTAAGAGGAAGAAAGAAAACTGTCTCTATTCACAGATGGCATAATCATCTACATAGAAAACCACAAAGAATCCAACAAACAAGCTACCAGTGAGTTTAGTAAAGTCAAAGGATACACAATTAATGTACAATACCAATATTTATTTATTAAATCAATTGTATTCAAATATAATTATATACTAAAAACAAATAATTAGAAACTAAAGTTGTTAAAATATCACTTACAATAGCATGAAAAAACATGAAATATTGGGATAAAACTTTAAAAATGTGAAAAACTTGTCCTCCTAAAATTACAAGACACTGTTGAGGGATTTAGAGTAGATCTAAGTAAATACAAAGAAACACTGTTCTCAAACATCAGAATATTTAATATCAATAAGGTGTTAGTTAATTCTTCCCAAATTGATCTAGAAAGTTAATGCAATTCTAATCAAAATCCCGGCAGGATTTTTTTGTAAAAATATAAAGGCTGATTCTAAAACATATTAGAACATGCAGAAGACCAAGAAGACATAAAATAATTTTTAATAATAAGATATAAGTTGGAGGACTCAAATTTTACCTGATTTCAAAATTATAAAGCTACAGTAGTCAAGAAAGTATAATATTGGCATAAAGATAAGCACATAGCTCAATGGAATAGAATCAGAATCCAGAAACACACACATACATGATCAGTAAAGTTTTCACCAAGGTATTGGCATAATTCAATGGGAAAAAGATTCAATTTTAACAAATGATTCTGGTACAATTGTACATCAACATGCAAATTAAGTGAACCTCTACCCTTACCTTAAGCCATACAAACAACAATAATAAAAATCAAAATGTCAGAACCATAAGACAGGGCGAGGAAAAAAAGACAAAACCCAGCCAGGCATGGTGGCTCACGCCTGTAATCCCAGCACTTTGGGAGGCCGAGGCGGGTGGATCTTGAGGTCAGGAAATCGAGACCATCCTGGCTAACATGGTGAAACCACATCTCTACTAAAAATAATACAAAAAATTAGCTGGGCATGGTGGCAGGCGCCTGTAGTCCCGGCTACTCTGGAGGCTGAGGCAGGAGAATGGCGTGAACCGGGAGGCAGAGTTTGCAGTGAGCCAAGATAGTGCCACTGCACTCCAGCCTGGGTGAAAACGCAAGACTCCGTCTCAAAAAAAAAAAAAAAAAAAAAAAGACCAAAACCAAAATGCATCACAGATCTAAATGTAAAACCTAAAGCTATAAAACTTCTAGGAGAAATCACAGAAACAAATCTCTTAAAACTCAAATAAGACAACAAATAGATACCACTACAAACCTAATAAAATCACTAAAATTGAAAAGACTGATAATACCAAATGTTGGTTAGAAGAAAGGCAACTAGAGCCCTCATATGTTGCTGGTGGAATTGCAAAATAGTACAAACACTTTGGAAAACAGTTTGATAATTACCTATCAAGTTAAATATACACTTATCATACAACCTACTAATTTTCCTCTTAGGTATATACTTAAGAGAAATGAAAATGAATGCCTACACAAAGACTCACATTCAAATCTTTATAGCAGCTTTGTTCATAATTGCCAAAAATTGAAATCCCATTAAATGCCGATCAACCAGATAAACAAAGTGTGCTGTGGCCATACAATGAAATATTATTTGGCAGTGAAAAAAAAATCCACTAACATGTTCAACATCCTGGATTGATCTCAAAAGTATTATGCTAGGTAAAAGACTCAAAACACAAAAGGCAACAAAAATACTCTAAGTTTCTATTATATTTTATATAAATGACTTTCTGGAAAATACAAAACTATACGTACAAAGATCAGATCAGAGGTTGCCAGGGATTGGGAATATAGACAAGTTATTGGTTGTAAAGGGAAATGGGAAAACTTTTAGAAATAATTTTTTATTTTGGTGGTGATTATATACTCTACCAAATGTTAAAACTCATTGATGTGTATATTAAAGCATACATTAAATAAATATAACTTAAAAACATTTGGGCTCAGGGTTGGCCATTTGCTAGTTCTGCTGCCCTCTTAAGATCTGACTGCCAAATAAATCATCCTCATGTCCTTTTAAAAAAAAAAAAAAAAAAATATTTGTATTGCTCTGGCCTTTATATTTTACCAAAAGTTGTAGATGTTCCTTAAGAATGTCTACTTACCTGGATGTTTTAGTCCTTTAACACAAACAAAACATCTTCCAAAGTTCTAAAGAAGAATGAATACAGAATTTTGTGGAGGCAAGAAAAGGTTGTCTCTTCTGCTAACTACATTCTGCAAGTTGTACACAACTCTTATTTAACAGCGTTTTTCCCATTTGGTGCTGCCAAGTGCTTCAATGAGACACCAAAAGATAAAAGCAACATTTAAAGCATATTTTTAATTGTGTATCAATAAGAATAATAACTAATTAATTGACACACATCGTTTAAACTCAAGAGTTTAAGCTAATATAAATAACTGGTCACCACGGAGGGATACTTGTAAACCAAATCATTATTTTGAAATTGGCAAATAAATGAAAAGATTAATTCTTTATCTTTCTCTTCTTATGAAAATAGTATCAATGAATAATTCAAAGGTAGATGAAAGGAAGTTTATCTTAATAGAAATATTGTAGCTGATAAATGAAGAAGGAATTTTAGAATTGGAGTATCACCATTTAACAATGAGTTACGCAAGTAGGGGTTCATCATCCATAGTTGTTGATATCACAAAAAGAAAAGATAACCACATATTACATATTCTGATGAAAGAACACAACACTTCCTACAAGCTAGTCTTGCCTCCCTGCCAAAAGAAAATATATATTAAATACACATACACATGCACATAATCTGAACATGATTCAGATGAATCAGCCACTACAGGGGACTGATAAATATGTAAAACGCATCATGGAAAGACAATCAGCATAATCCAGATTGCAGAAAGCTCTAGAGAAAACTATTCCATTTCTGCAGCAAGTGAATTACAAGGGGGAAA
This sequence comes from Homo sapiens, assembly GCF_000001405.40. Lineage (NCBI taxonomy): Eukaryota > Metazoa > Chordata > Mammalia > Primates > Hominidae > Homo > Homo sapiens. The sequence goes on along the minus strand of NC_000002.12, from coordinate 153,207,170 downwards.
GGAAGGCAATCATTTGCAATGTCTAGACCTTATTTGGATTGTGATTCAAATAATAAACTATGAACAAAATGCAAAACATTTATAAGATAGTAATATAAACAGTGGATAGTATTAAGTATTGTTAATGTTGTCTGACAATTATATTGAATTTATGATAAGAAGAGTCCATACCTTTTAGAAGTACATATTAAAATATTTAAGAAACAAATGAAAGAATTAAGAGCTGGGAATATAGGCTTAAAAAAAAGAATTGGCTGTGAGTTGTAATTTTTAAATCTAGGCGATGAGTAAAATGGGGGTTCACTGAACTATTGACTTCTTTATTAACTGCTTAAAACTTTCTATAACAACAAAATATTTTAAAGAAGGTACAGAAATTCACATAAAATATTTCTTGAGCTTATTTTAGCTGGTTCTCATAATCACATCACCATTTCAAACTTTAATATAGCCAACACTTGAAAGTATGAATGGGCTTGACATTTCTTATTTTCTTCCTTCAGACATAAATTTTCCTTGTCCTTTCTAATCTTATATCTAATGAACTCTTCAGTTACATTTATCATTCAATATTTTAAAACCAGAGTTCCCTTCAGGATGACCCTTCAAAATGACCTTTATAATCACAAATTTGCTTCTCAGCCCTACTCCAGCACTATGAATATCTGGAACTAAACAGACAATAGGTTGTATCAAAATATCACATGTACTGCATAAATATGTACAATTATAATATATCCACAAAATTAAAAATTAAAAAAATTTAAAAATCCAGCTGGTTATTACAATGCCCACTTTAAATATGTGATTGTGATAAAAGCCCTTTAGCCATGAAATAAGAAGGGCCTGAACAAGCAGTGAAAAGCAGGCTGCCAATATATCAGTAACTTCACTCTCTTGGTTGAGGTTCAAGTCAGATTCAATTTACACCAAATTCTGTGCAAAGTAAACTCTAGTGTCTAAATATCACAACAAACCCTCAAATTCTGTTGTAAATTATTCTAATTCTTAGTTCCTTATTATAGTACCAGGCTCTGTACTTTTGGCTCTATTGACTGAAAGCAATGCTAGTATGTATAAAAGAGAATCATACTATTCTTTCTTTTTTTTTCATTTTCCTAGTCAATGGCACTCCCAGCAGGACAAAATTTTTTTCCACTTTTATTCAACAATTATTCAGGACTTATTGAGGGCTCTAAGGAGGGAAAGCAATCATTACACTAAGTTTGATTAGATAGTAGAAAAGAAAAATATTTTAGAAACTAAGAAATATTAGAAAAATTAATAATAATTTAGTCTGGCATGTGTAAATTTAGTTAGTCCTAAAGGTTCTGGGTAACCTTTGAAACAAAGCCAGTTTTGCACAAGGTTGTAAAATTAAATAATTTCTGTTGATAGACATAAATCAACATTCAGGGCAAATTGAAAGAGTACTAGATTTAAAAATGGAAATTACTAAGATGTATGAAGCAGCTCCTAGTGTGCAAAAGTGCTCAGCAAGGCTTATTGGAATGAAGTAGAATAAAAAAGAATTCATTGGATTGGACCAGTTGGATTGATTGGGTTACTTGAGTTGAATTTATTGGGTTTAATTGAAATGAGGGAAGAACTTTTTCTGAGAAATAATAAGAATATGAAGATGGATAAATATGAGACAGGCACAACTCTGATTCACCAAATTAAAACTTTTATTCAAATTTGGATTAAACAAACATTTTTTGAGCATAATCTACCAGGCACTATTGATTTTGTAACTTTGGTTTAAAAAACCGACTATCTCAGCAGCTCTTTTAGGACAAAGTTGAGAAGACGGAAGTGACATTAGATCAGCAAAAATGTCATTGTGATAAAACTCCTCCAGCCATGAAATAAGAAGGGCCTGAACAAGCAGTGAAAAGCAGACTGCCAAGATATCAATAACTTCACTCCCTTGGTTGAGGTTTAAGTCAGACTCAACTTACACTAAATTCTGTTTACAAAAAAAAAAAAAAAACACTAAAGTTTTCATGTATTAATAGTGAGGTAGACTTGCAGTAAGTTTGTTCAGTAAAAATTTTAGGCTTAAGCCTATCTTCACCATGAGTATCATGTTCCCTTCAGAATGACCCTTCAAAATAACGTTTACCATCACAAAAAATCTGAAGCAAAGCAAAAAGTCTTTGCTTCAAGACTTTTACTAATTTATTTTTACTGAATCTTGTTGCAATATTTGTGCAAAATCTTAAAAAGCACAAATACTGCAACAAGATACAGTAGTTAAATAAATCACCTCTTTTTTTTCCCCTTACTGGCTGATAAGCAGATTTCTTCAATAGAGAATACCTTTTAACAGTGTAATGAGTTCCCAGATGGGCCATATACAAGCATGTATAGATAGTTGACTCATCTCCTTCAAATTCCATTCCTATTTGCATCCATTAATTTGCAAAGGGGATAGAATCCTCTTGATAAATAACTCAAAACATTTGTGCTTATAGTTAGGCATAAAGAAGAAGGAAGAACCAAGAGATTCTAACAAGATGTATTCTAGGGTTCCTGGGAGACAATGCAATTTGGAGGAAAAAGGCCTTAGGCATGGTGAGTTGGACTAAGAATTTCTGAAGGGATTTATTAGTTACAGTGTGGCCTGGTGGCTGTTACAGAACTTGACCCAAACCAGCCATTCTGGGGAGTGTGTCTTGAAAAAGAAAAGCCAGTAAGTATAACTAAAAAAGCTGTTTGGATAAATTCTGGAATGAGTTCCCAAATGCGCCATATACAAGGCCCATTTGGTGCCCAAGCCTCTCTTCTGTGAAACAGAAGCCTTTCTTCTGTGAAACAAATAAAGGACCAATTTCCTAGACCTTGAAATATGGATAAAAACAAGCATCCCTCAAGAGGCGAGAGAAGTACATCAACCAAAGGAGGCATCAAGCAATATAGTCCAGGGTGAAGGGACAACAATAAAGCCAAGAGCAACTTGAGGCAGCTCTGAGGATGTGTTAGACAATTTGGGAGTTTCCTAAAGTTACTGGAAGGGAAGGGAATACCCAACAGAAGTCTGAGAGTCTACAGTTATACACACTGGTATTAGGGAGTATCGAAACAGGAATAGTGTGATTGGTTAACAAGTTTCCAATTAGGTTGCATGCATAAGTTACAGGCATGCAACAGGATACTGATCTCTTCATCTCTTTCATATATATTCACATGCTAAAATTTCTCATACTCTCAAATATGGCCTTTTACTTTCTCATACTTTTCACTGTCTCACACTTTTTACAATATTTAGTGTATGCGTGTGTGTGTGTGTGTGTAGACACGCTACATATTGTGTCCCTATTTTCCTAGTTTTATATAAATATTTTGTGAGAATAGTTGAAATGGAAATGGAAATGATAAGAGTAATATATCTGTAAGTGAGATTTTACCAAGGTCTAAAACTGTCTAAAGTCACTTAACAAGGTTAAGTGATTTCTTGTGGTTTAAATGCTTAAACAAGCTACTATGGAAATTAGTCTTAGGCAACTGTTCAATGCAACTATATAGCATAGAGATTAACAGTGTGTTTGTGGAGCCGGATAGCCTACATTTGAGTCCCTGTCATGCTAACCATATCCATTTTCCATGGGGAAAATCACTTCTCTAAGCCTCAATTTGCATATCTGTAAAATTAATATAAGAAGAGGATCTGAAAATAAGGTTGCTGTAAAGAATCAATTAGATAATCCATGGAATGCCCTCATCCTAGTTCCTGGTTCTTAAAAAGTGTTCAATAATGTTAAACTATATTGCCTGCCAATTTTTTATATCTATTTTCAATGTGTTGCTTTAGGTTATATTGCTTTCAATTTATAACAGTCAGAAAATTAGGGGAAAAATGCACTCTAAATTTTCTGTTCCCAGAAATTGTAGAAGACGAATAGACCTCACCTTACCAGGAAAAACTAAATTGCTCTGTTTTTGCAGGGAGTGAAAACAACATGAACAGTTTCAGGTTCTGCAATGTGCCATCTACAATAATCTGAAGCATGAATTCTAAATGTCCTAAAAATGAACACATAACTGCACCTTCTTGAAAGCAGACAAGTAACATCCTTCCTTACTCCTGAATCAGCCTCAGAGACGGCCTTAATGGTGCATAACAAGGAGACACCGAAAGGCACATTGAGCCAGACTCTGATAAACTCTGAAGAAACTGGAGGTAAGAAAAGAAGAAAATCAATACTGATCCATACAAATGAGAGCAATACAAAATAAAATCAATCAATTGTGAGATAAAAAATATATCATACCTTATCATTTTGTTATACTGAATTATTAAAGAGAAGTCTCAATAACACGTATTTTTAAATTTTGAATTAACTGGTAGAAAATTCAAAAATAACAAATATATGTTTTTTAAATGGAATCAATATTTTACTATTTACACCTATTCTGATTTTAAATCATCCAGCACACTCTTTGGAGATCATAATTTATTTTATAAATTCGGGTAAAACAATTTTTTCCTTATTAAGTGCTTGATGATAGCATTAATGAAACACTATAGTTACATATGTGTTTGCTTCATTTGTGAAAGCCAAATTGCCCTCATTCTCAACACACACACTTGTAGAATGTCAGGACTGAGGCCAGGTTTCAAATGTGAAGTAAGGATTGTGGGTGGACTCTGGCAGTTATTCCACAGAATTTGTATGTGTCAATCTTAGTATTCAGGAATTATACTACCAAACTAGTTCATGTGAGCACTGTGCTCTTCTCTACTGCTTCCAAGCATGTTATTTTTGGTAGTATTTATGAAGTTCTGTGAATTCTAAGGCACACCTGTATATTATGAATAAATCCTGGAGAGAGGTTGCTGAATGAAGAAGGCAGGGAAAGTAGCATATGTAGATAAAAGGCTGAGTGTGGATTCTCATCAAGAAATGGGTGGAGACAGCACTTTGGGAGGCCGAGGCGGGTGGATCATGAGGTCAGGAGATCGAGACCATCCTGGCTAACAAGGTGAAACCCCGTCTCTACTAAAAATACAAAAAATTAGCCGGGCGCGGTGGCGGGCGCCTGTAGTCCCAGCTACTCGGGAGGCTGAGGCAGGAGAATGGCGTGAACCCGGGAAGCGGAGCTTGCAGTGAGCCGAGATTGCGCCACTGCAGTCCGCAGTCCGGCCTGGGCGACAGAGCGAAACTCCGTCTCAAAAAAAAAAAAAAAAAAAAAAGAAATGGGTGGAGAGAGGGGCCATCCTGTGGAATATTAATAGTGGCTTGTTCTATTTTCATTGACATGAAAGGGTATAGAGACGAAGATCTGGAGCTTCAGCTGTTCATGCCTTGGGTGAGCCATGAACTGCTTCCCATAGGGAAGCATTGTTCAGTAAATGATTGACATCACAGGAGCCTTACCAGGACAACAACAAGATAGTGAATAGTGCCCACCTGGTGGGGCGCCCACTATTCTGTAAAATCACAGCCAAATACTATACTACAGTTTACAATGTAAGTTATAAAATAATCTTTTGTGTGTGTGTGTGTTGAGATAAATTAAATGGATGTAAATTGACTAAAATAGAGTTGGTGGATGACAAAAGAGCTATAAAGATAAGTACATTCCCTATGTGCTGTATAAAGTAGGTTTGGGGAAAATGTGCTCTTAAAGAAGTTTTTGCATAGAATCTTTCTACTAACTAGCTGATGACATAAATCAATTTTAAAGACATGACCAATATGATCCCAACCTGTAATTACCACCAGTAAATGAATAGGCTTGGCAGGGAGGGAAGGAATTAGGATGCAGATCAATCTATTGTTTAGCTTTCCGTTTTCTGTAGGCCCTCACTTTTGGACACGTTGTCAGAATAGATAAGCAGTTAGTTTTTCTACCTTCATCCTATGGGTAATAAATACTTAAACACAACTCAAAGTGACAACAGACCCACCAAGCAGCAGAATCCAAGGTGAGGACTTGATTGCCACATCTACAGGGCTAGCACAGAAAACTCTGCTGAGAACAATATTATTCCCACTGCAGGGACAGGCAGATGGTGACACACAGATGCAGGACCAGATGGAGTTGTGTGATTCTGTCTTATCAACAGAATCAGAGAAACCGGGGAATTTCCGGGGAAATTACTGATGAAAATAGAACTGTTCACTCTCTAAGAGAAACATAAAGGAGACCATAATGGAAAGTTGTAGTTAACTCTTGTGTCTTGAACCAGAAGAAAAGTTGTCCCACCAATAGCAACAGAAAGCATTACCTTCTAGTCAACCTCTGGATTCAGTCCCATCTTTTTTGTGAGAATGAGTGCCTTCAGGAGAAACAAAACCCTAGCCTGACTTTCCTATAGAAGGACATTGCCCTTGTGCTGATCTTTCCCTCCTATGATTTCAAATTCCAATTTAACTATGTTGACTCACTTTTTTCTAATTTAAGTGGAAGAGAACATTCTCATGGAGATTTAAATAAACTTTGATAGATGTGTTTTCTGCATTTCTCTAATCCTCAAAATCAAACAACCTGTTCTTTCTATTGAGTTTTTTAATTCATTCATCCCACAAGCATTTCCTGTGCTTTTGCTAGATTTTAGGCAATGAGATAGATTCTGTGGTTCCAGTGATAAATAAAAGCGAATTCCTGCCTTTAAAGAGCAGATAGTCTTAATTCTCATGTTTAGCTAATCATGGTTTCTCTAATGTGCCATTTCTGCCCCATGCCCCTGGCCGGACCTGACACAAAAGGGTTTCCACAGGTCACACTACTATTTGTCTTAGTTCTAATCTGTGCAAATGAAATGCTCACTACACTTTGCCCCAACCTGCTTCCAACTTCCTGACCACCAACTTTACCACTAGTTATTGCATTTCTAGCCCTACCTTAACCAGCAGACTTGAAGTAAGCTACTACTTTCCTGTTTAAGATGTTGCTTTGCTCAGTGACAATTCTTGCTCTTCACCTGGCAATACTTCAGTCTTAGATTGTCTTCAGTATGTCCTTCCTGCTTCAGTTTATCCTCAGAATTCTCAGATACCTGATTTCAGTCTCAAGGGTGAGGTTCAGAAGCCGAGGAATTATCCATCAACTCCAAAGTCCTCTTTTTTGTTTCTCTCAGCCAAGTCTACTCCTATGGCATGTGGTACCCAGGAAAATATGTTTTTTGTGGGGCTCCCTGTCTATATAAGCAACTTTACTAAAAATATAAGACTCCTGAGACCCTATGAGATGTGGTTATTTATCAATGAACATAGATCTTGTTTCTTCTGCAGTTCACTGTACTATTTATTTAACACTAATTACATTATTTCTCATGGCACTGTATCATCCTTCATTCCTCCCATGAATACTGGCTTTCAATGACTTTCTTCAAAGTTGTTATTGTGCTTTTTTGATATGCCTATAAATGAAAGTCTTTATAGTATGCAGGAAAATGTGAGTTATCATTGCTTTTCTGGTAAATTTACTGTCTTGAATTTTACAGCATAAACATAGGACAACATATCTTCCAATCGTATCTTATATTTAAATTTTTAGACTATAATCACATCATTTCTAGAATGTGATCACTTTCAATGTTGGTTATATCACAACCTTGCCTTCCACACCCCACCACAGTAAGGACAGGCAAGAGGCCTGGGAGTAGAGCAAGAAGAACAGTTTTATTTGCTCAAAACAACATCTGTCCTTTGTCCAGCATGGCTTAAGACCAGCCCAGGAAAGTCTGATGATACTACCACAACCAGAGGCAATAGAGGTCCCAGACATCCTCAATGTGGCCTCAACCCTTGAGAACTGTCAACCAGAGGTACAGCACTAGTCAGAACCGGGATGAGTGAGGGATAATGCATAGCCCACAAAAATGGCTCCAGCTGAATGGTAAGTGGCTATGTTGGTAGCCTACAGCCATAAGCTTTCCTTGCCTCTGACACGAGTTAGTCACCCAAAATCAGAATGTTGCCTCCATTTTGGTAGCCCAATATTATGCATTCCTATGAAAGACATACTTCATGAGCCAGCAGGAGAAGCCTACTTGCCAGGCTGCCCTTCAAGAACCAGGGCCGACCCAAGAAACCTGGGATGATCCCACAGGATCAAATTCTCACATTTTTGGGCTTCTGGTCAACACTATTGTTACAGACTTGAAAGTCTGAGAGTACCCCAAAAGGGAAAAGAGGAATGAAGGCTCACATAAAGCCATAGGGTGTCCCATCTGGAAGGCACTGCCAGGCCTACTCAGTCCCAGGCACTAAAAGAGCACTTAGAAAATTTTGACAAATGCCCCCTAAAACCCATGGTCTTGGCCTGTGCCCCAGGGACAGAGACCGTGCTTGCTTAGATCAAAGGGCAATGTTGCTCAAAGGTGAAACAAATAAGGGAGCTGAATTTGTCATACCAAACTTTCTGAGGAAGGTGATATCTTCAATCACCTTGTTTCATTATCCCTGATCTGTCAAGAAAAACAGTACTATAAAGCTCAACAGGATCAACTCTGAAAAGAACTAAAAAAGAAAAGAAGGCAAAAGAGTGAGGAAGGTAATGAGACCTTGATAATGAGTTAATAATTTGCAAAGAAATAACAAAAATGGGAGAGGGGTGCCAGATGGCTGACTAGAGGCACAGGACACTCAACTCCACAAAGAACCAAAATAGTCAATAGCTAACCACATTTTGAATAGAACACCTAAGAGAGAATGCTGAAATTCAGCAGATAAGTGACAGGAAATACCTGAAGCACTGAAGGAATGAGAGGAGAGGTGTATAGTCCAGCCAGCATTAGCCAGAGATTTGGAGCAGCTCCTCGGTGCAGGGAAAAGGTGAGAGATTCCCAGTGGCCTACATTCTCACCTCAGACTCCTGTAATTCTAGTCATGGAAGAGTTCCTCAACTCCCACAGGCCCTGGGACTGGCATAGGGAGCTGCCTGGAATCTGCATAAGAGCACTGGCTTCAGAGTGGGAACTCATGCTGGGTCCCACACACCCACTGAGCAACAGGCAACTGCAGCACGGCACCAATTTGAAAGCCCAGCCCCCAGCAGACTACATCCTACCCTGGGACCAAACAGCCCCTGCATCTCCACATTTCTGGAGGCTCACTAAGAGCCCTCATATCCTGGGGACTGCAGCAGCGAGACATCAGTTAAATCCAGCAGAGCAGCAATGGTCCTCAACACTTCAGCCCACACAGAACCTTACAAGCAGGGCCAAGGGAGGTACAGTGTACCAGGGATGCTGCCCCCAGGACAAAGGGAGCCCAAGTGCATGCTCCGAAGAGCCTGAAACCCCCCTGCCTGGGGCTGCTATCCCTGACAGCAACCTCCCAGAATTTCCCCACCCTAGCAGCAAGGCTGCCGCACACTTGCAAGTGCCCTCACCACTGCTGCTGCCTGGGACCGAAGCACGTGGTACCTAGAGCTTGTAACCCACCTTCGTGGGGTGGCTACCACAGATAGAAACTCTGTCCTCCCAAGCAGGAGGGCCTCTGTGTTTTGGCACACGTGCTGAAAACAGGGTTTCCCCACGCGTTGCCTTCACTGCCACACAACCACTCAAACACACTGCCTGGGGCATGGGTGTTGGTCCACTGTGCTTATGACAGTCTGCACTCATGCACAGCACTGGGCGCCTGAGAACAGGCCTGCCTGGCCTGGCACTGGCCCCCAGTCCCAGTGCACAAACATATTCAGGAATTGTCCTGCTTCATCAGTTGCCAGAGGCACACACACCTAAGGAGCTAATAACAGCCCCAGAGCACCTACTGGTTGGCCATTGATATAGCATATCTTCTGGATGCCTGGAGCTTGCCTCACCACAACCATCACAGCCTATGTCCATGCACACCTTTGGAAGAACCTGATACCAGGCCTTCTCCATTTAGCACCACCCGTGCTAGTGCCCAAGCACGACACCTGGAAGCAGGGGATCACCCCACCCTATCATTAACCCCAGGCATGCATGCATATCAACAGAGAGCCTAACAACAGGTTTAGAAAACCTGCTGTCAGCACACAAGCATGCCATTCAGCATCTTCATAATCACTCCACCTCATCAACCACCTCTGGCATCTGGACATTCCTTCTGGGGACCTGAGCACGGAGTTGTCCTGCCTGCCACCACCACCACCACCTACACTCACCTGTACACATCACTTTGGGGCTTGGGGACAGGCCCATTCAGCCCATTGTGCCCACTGTTAACAACAGCAAGAGCCAACTGAAAGCCTGAGAATTGTCCCACTGATGGCAGCAGCAGGCTGTCTGTAGTGGCCACTGCCACTGCACCAGCTGCAGTGGGGAGGTACGAGCAGTGGCAGCAGGAGCAGGGACAAGTGCATGGAACATATATGGAGGAGTCGGAGCTGGGCCCAGGGTGGTGCCATGCTCCATGGAGCCGGCAGGAGCTAGGGACAAGTGGGAGCCCCTGGAGCCCACCACCCTGGGGGCTGCCACAGTGGGGTCAGGACGAGCCACCCACCAGTGGGGGAGCAGTGCGGTTGGGCAGAGGGGCAGGCAGAAAGGTGCCCAGTGAGAACCTGGAGCCCCTGCCCCATGCTGTGAGCAGGCATGGCCGGGGCTGCCTGCATGCTCCATGGAGCAGGCAGGAGCTCCAGCCTCCCAGGTGCAGGACTCAGGCATCTCTGCACTCTGCACTCTCGGGGGCCCAGGAAGGGCCCTTTGCCCCCACAGGCTTGGGAGTGTCGACTCTCATGGCCTGGCCTCTCCCTGCTCACAGAGCCTGCTCCAATCCTGAAGTAGGAATGGGGCCAAGCCTGGTCACTGTCACTGCCCAGCCAGGTGTGTGCACATTCAGGGCAGTGCTAACATAACAGCCCCCTGCCACCTTGGCCCCCTCTAGACTTTGGGCACTGACAAGCATACAGGGGGAATCTGAAGGAGGGCTGAGGGCAGCTTGGCACTGGCCTGCAGGTGCCCCTTGGCATGAGCAGCCTGGACATCATGGATGGTGGCATGAGGCAGATAGGCTCCTGGGCGGAAACAGGTGGGTCCCCAGTAAGGCCCCACCTTCAGGTTTGCGCTGCTAGTCCCAAGAAACCTGGGATGGGAACCGGAGTGGGAACTTGTGGTACCTTTTCCTGACCCGCTCCTGGTGGCCCAAGGACCAGTCAGTGTGCACTTTCTCCCTTCTTAGGTCTATAAAAGCCTTGGGCTCAGCCAGAGCTAAACAGATGACAGGATAGCCAGCTGCAGAGAGGAGCTACTCTCTCTGCTAAGAGCTGAACCCTCATTGGGATGATCAGATGCAGAGAGGAGCTACCCTCTCTGCTAGTAGCTGAACACTCATGGGACACCCTAGTTCTAGAAAGGAGCTGCCCCTGCGGGTCTCCTCTGAGCTGTTCTATCACTCAATAAAGCTCCTCTTTGTCTTGCTCACCCTTCACATATCTGCATAGCTCATTCTTCCTGGTTGCAGAACAATTACTCGGGACCCGCTGAATGGTGAAGCTAAAAGAGCTGTAACACACACACAGGGCTGAGACATGTCCCTTGCTCGCCACATTGCAGGTGACAAGAAGGAGAGAAGAGCTGTGGCCCTTTGGGGTGCCCAGACCTGGGAGCTCCCTGAGCCAGGGCTATGACTCCCTCTTTGGGGCCCTGCAGTTCCCGGTGTCTCCAGGCTTCTGGGTGCCACCTCATTCACTGGTGCCAGCTGGAGAAGCTGCTTGCAGTATGCCTGGTACAGCCACAGCCTCCCAGAAAGCTGGCACCCATGCAGGCACCTGGAGCTGCCTGCCCTGCAGCAGCAGCCAGCATGTCTGACTGCACAGTGGCTGGACCCTAGGCTCACTCACACACCCCTGGCTGCTCAATGTTTGACTCACAGTTTCCCTTGGAGGCATGAGTTCCAGGCTGGTAGGGTGAGCTGAGCACAGCCTGCCAGGTTGAGTGGGCAGAACAAGCCCAGCAGGCCCAAACAAGAGTCAGGCAAAGGCACCATGGGACACAGAGGTTTTTAGCCAGAGAAGTGACACCCAAAGATCCCGTAACACTATCACCACAACTACCATCACTCACACCATGCATGCTGCTCAGAGACCCAAGAACTCACACATCCAAGGGACGAAAGGACTCACACACCCACTCATCCCCCCACTGCCACTACTGACAGCCAAGAAATCTGCCTAAAGGCCCAAGAAACTGCCCATCTAAACCACCTAACACCAATGCCAACATATACCACCCGGGGCTCCAAATATAAAGACACTCAGACTGCTGTTGCCATCACTGAGGCATAAGAACTAGCCTCGGCAGTCTATTCCCAGCAAAAGCTCACCATAGCCTCCACTAACAAGTGCAGCTAAAGCCACTGAGGAAATCACAGACATCACTGACACTGTTTACAGCCAAAGTAATCATACAGAGAGTATACTACTGTGTGCAACTGGAATCAAAGCAAAGCTCCCCTACACGACCAACATTTAAATACATCTACAGGAAAAAAGTCTTTCTCTACAAAAACCAATTCACAAAATTAGAAGTGAGTGTTACATCCAAGGTGCTAATATCAATGAAAGACACAAGAAACAGGAAAAAGCAAGGAAATGTGACACCTTCAAATGAACACAATAATTCTTCAACAACAGACTCCAATGAAGACAAAATTTATCAAATGCCTGAAAAATAATTCAAAGTAATAATATTAAAGAAGTGCAGTCAGATGCAAGAGAAAACAGGTAACAATACAAAAAAATCAGAACAATTCAGGATATAAAAGAGAAAGATATCATAAAAAAGAACCAAACAGAAATCCTGGAACTGAAGAATGTATTAAATAAAATACAAATTACAATTCAAAGCTTCAACAATAGACTAGATAAAGCAGCAGAAAGTTTTTCAGAACATGAAGACAGGTCTTTCAAAATAAAACATTCAGACAAAAAGACAAAAAAGCATAAAAAATAAAAAGAAAGCCTTCATGATTTATGGGACAGCAAAAAGTGATCTAAAATTCAAATTTTAAATGTTCCAGAAGATGAAGATAAATTTTATGACATAAAAAACTGATTTAACAAAATAATACCTGGAAACTTCCTAAGTCTAGCAAAGGATTTAGACATACAGATAAAGGAAACTCAGAGATCCTTAAATATATAAAAGTACAAAATATCTTCTCCCTTGCATATTATAGTCAAACTATCAAAAGTTAAAGACAAAGAGGGAATTCTATAACAAAAGAAATGTGTCTAGTCACATATAAGGGAACCCGCCAGACTAGCAGCAGACTTCTCAGCAGAAATCTTATAGGCCAGAAAAAAAATGGCATAATATATTCAAAGAGCTGAAAGGAAACAAAAAATCAGGCAGCAATACTGTAACTCAACAGTGTCTTCCACAAATGAAGGTGAAATAAAGACTTTCCAAGACAAGCAAAAACTGAGAGATTTCATCACCACTAAACCAGCCCTATGAGAAATGCTTTAGGGAGTGTTACACATGGAAGCAAAAGACAGTATCTACAATCATAAAAGCACATGCAAATGTAAAACACGCAAATGAGGAAGAGACAGGATTCAAAAGTTTTTTTTTTTATTAAAATGAAAAATATTTATTTATTATAAACCTATTTTTTTGTTTGTTTGTTTTTATTATACTTTAAGTTTTAGGGTACATGTGCACATTGTGCAGGTTAGTTACATATGTATACATGTGCCGTGCTGGTGCACTGCACCCACTAACTCGTCATCTAGCATTAGGTATATCTCCCAATGCTATCCCTCCCCCCTCCCCCGACCCCACCACAGTCCCCAGAGTGTGATATTCCCCTTCCTGTGTCCATGTGATCTCATTGTTCAATTCCCACCTATGAGTGAGAATATGCGGTGTTTGGTTTTTTGTTCTTGCGATAGTTTACTGAGAATGATTTCCAATTTCATCCATGTCTCTACAAAGGACATGAACTCATCATTTTTTATGGCTGCATAGTATTCCATGGTGTATATATGCCACATTTTCTTAATCCAGTCTATCATTGTTGGACATTTGGGTTGGTTCCAAGTCTTTGCTATTGTGAATAATGCCGCAATAAATATACGTGTGCATGTGTCTTTATAGCAGCATGATTCAAATGTTATCACTACAGAAAGCCATCAAACCATAAAGATAAGCAATAATAAAGAATGAAGACAATATAAATGATCAGAAAGCAATAAACAAAATGGCAGGAGTAAGTCCTCACATATCAATAATAACTTTGAATGTAAATGGATTAAGTATTCTGCTTAAAAGACATGGACTGCTAGAATGGATGACAACATGATCCAACAATATGTTGCCAACAAGAAACTCACTTTACCTGTAAAGACATATAGACTATACACAGAAGATGGAAAAAATATTCTATGCAAACAGAAGCCAATAGCAAGCAGAAGTAGCTATACTTACATTAAATAAAACAAACTTTAAGACAAAAACAGTAAAAAGAGACAAAGAAGGTCATAACATAATGACAAAGGGAGCAATTCAACCAAAGGATATAACAGTTCTAATATAAATGCACTCATCACTGGAGCACCTAGATATATAAAGCAAATATTATAAATCTAAAGGGAGAAATAGACTTCAATATATAATATTTGGGGACTTCAACACACCACTCTCAGCAACAGACAGATCATCTAGACAGAAAATCAACAAAGAAACATTGGATTTAAACTGCACTTTAGACCAAATGGCCCTAACAAACATTTACAGAACAACTCATAAAAGAGCTGGAACATTACGATAGACCACATGTTAGGCCACAAAACATGTCTCAATAAATTTTTAAAAATTGAAATCGAGTATCTCTCAGACCACAAAAGAATAAAACTGGAAATCAGTAACAAGAGAAACTTTGAAAACTGTATAAATACATGAAAATTAAGCAACATACTCCCGAACAACCACTGGGTTAATAAAAAAGTTAAAAGGAGAATCAAATGACTTCTTGAAACAAATAAAAAGGAAAATATAATAAAACCTATGAGATATAGCAAAAACAATGCTAAGATAGAAGTTTATAACAACAAATGCCCACATCAAAAAAGTAGAAAGATGTCAAATAAACAACCTAAAGATGTACCTCAAGGAATTAAAAAAGAAGAGCAAACCAAACCTAAAATTATTAAAGAAATAATAAAGATCAGAGCAGAACTCAATTAAATAGAGACAAAAAATACAAAAGATCAACAAAATGAAAAGTTGGTTTTTGAAAAGATAAACAAAATCAATAAACCACCCATAAAATTAACCAAGTAAAAAAAGAGAAAACCCAAATAAAATTAGAAACAAAAAGGAGACATAACAATTCATACCACAGATACCAAAACATCAGAGACTTCTGTAAACAACTATACACTAACAAACTGGAAAATCTAGAAGAAATAGATAAATTTCTGAATACATACAACCTACCAAGGTTGAATAAGAAAGAAACAGAAAACCGGAACAACCAATAACAAGTAACAACATTGAATCGGTTTCAAAAAAAAAAAAAAGTCTTTCAAGCCCAGGACCTGACAGCTTCACAGCCAACTTCTACCGAAGTTATAAGAACAAGTACCAATGCTCCTCAAACTAGTCCAAAAATTGGAAAAGGGGAGGCTACTTTGTAACTCATTCTATGAAACCAGCATTAACCTACTACCAAAACCAGACAAGGACATGACTAAAAAAGAAAACTATATTCCAATATACCAGATGACATAGATGTAAAAGCCCTTGACAAAATACAAGTAAACTGAATCCAACAGTACATCAAAGACATAATACGACATGATTAAGTAGAATTTATCCCAGGAATATTATGATAGCTCAACCTACATATGCAAATTAATAAAACACCATGCAGCGCATAATAGAGGACAAAAACCATCATCTTAATAGGTGAAGAAAAAGCATCTGATAAAATTCAACATCACTTCATGATAAATACACTCAACAAACAAGGAATAGAAGGAAGATAGTTTAGCATAATAAAGGCCATATAAGACAAACATACAGCTAACATCATACTGAATGGGAAAAAGCTAGAAGCCTTTCCTGTAAGAACTGGAACTAGACAAGGATGCCCATTTTCACTATTCCTAGTCAATACAGTACTGGAAGTCTTAGCCAGAGTAATCTGGCAAGAGAATGAAATAAAGAGCATCCAAATTAGAAAGGAAGAAATAAAATTGTCCTTCTTTGTGGATGACATAATCTTATAATTAGAAAAACCAAAAGACCTTAAAAAAACCTCTTAGATCTGATAAACAAGTTCAGCAAAGTTTCAGATACAAAATCAACATACAAAAATCAGTAGCATTTATATATACCAATAATGAACTAGCTGCAAAAGAAATTAACAAAGCAATCTCACTGACAATAGCTACCAAAAAATAAAATACCTAGGAATAAATTTAACCAAAGATGTGAAAGACCTCTACAAAACCTATAAAACACTAATGAAAGAAATCGAAGAGACCATAAATAAATGGAAAGATATCCCAGGCTCATAGATTGAGAGAATTAATATTTTTAAATTAACCATATAACTCAAATCAACCTATAGATTCAATGCAGTCTCTATCAAAATAGCAATCACATTTTTCACAGAAATAAGAAAATCCTAAAATTTGTATGAAACCAAAAAAGAACCTGAATAGCCAAAGCAATACTGAGAAAAAAGAACAAAACTAGAGGCATCATACTACCTGACTTTAAAACATATTAAAAGTCTTTATTAACCAAAACAACATGGTATTGGTATACAAACAGACACATAGACAAATCAAACTGGATAGAGAACACAGAAATAAACTCCTGTATTGAAAGCCAATTGATTTTTGACAAAGGTGCCAAGAGCATACTTTAGGGAAAGACACTCTCTTCAATAAGTTGTGCTGGGAAAACTGGATATCCATATGCAGAAGAATGAAACTAGGCCCCTACTTCCCACCATATAGAAAATTACTTAAAAATTTAAATGTAATATCCAAAGCTATAAAACTATTAGAAGAAAACACACGGGAAACACTATAGGACATTGGTCTAGACAAACATTTTATGGCTAAGATCCCAAAAGCACAAGCAACAGAAATACAGAATAAACGAATGGGACGTTATTAAACTAAACAACTTCTGCAACAGCAAAAGAAATAATCAACAAAGTGAAGAGACAACCTGCTGAATGGAAAAAATATTTGTCAAATATTCATTCAAAAAGAGACTAATATTCAGATTATAAAAGAAATCAGACAACAGCATAAAAACGTTCCATTAAAAATTGGACAAATAATCTAAACAGACATTTCTCAAAAGAAGGAATACAAATGGACAACAGATATATGAATCAAATGTTCATCATCATTAATTATAAGGGAAATGCAAAAATCAAAACCACAGTGAGATATTATCTCATCCCAGTTACAAAAGCTATTATCAAAAAGATCAAAAGTAACAGATGCTAGCAAAGATGTGTAAGTATCAGAACTCCTATTCAGTGTTGGTGGAAATGTAAATTAGTACAGCCATTATGAATCACTGTATGGAGATTTCTCAAAAAACTAAAAATAGAACCACCATACAATCCAGCAGTTTCACTGGCAGGTATTTATCCAAAGGAAAGGAAATCACTGTGTCAAAAGGATACATGCACTCTTATGTTTATTATAACACTATTCACAATTGCCAAAATACGGAATCAATCTAAGTGTCCATCAGTTGATGAATGGAGAAAGAAAATGTGGTTTATTTACATAGTAGAATATTACCTGACCATTAAAAAGCAAAATCATTGTTACATGAATATACTGCAAAAAAATATGTCATTTGCAGCAACATGGATGAAACTGAAAGTCATCATGTTAAGTGAAATAAGCCAGACACAGAAAGACAAATATTGCATGTACTCATATGTTACAGCTAAAAAAATGCTGATCTCATGGATATAGAGAGTAGAATGATAGTTACCAGATGCTGGGAAAGGTGTGGGTTTTGGGGAATGGGACGGGGAATAAGAAAGGTGGGTGAAAATCCAAGAAAGTGAGAATGAGCCTGGCCTACCAGCATAATCCTCAGAACAGAATAAAAACTGTCTGGAAAGGATAAGAGAGACGGCTCACTTTGTGTTATACACATATAGTTAGATAGAAGTAATAAGTTCTAATGTTTGATGGTAGAGTATGGTGACTATAATTAACAGCAATGAAGAGTACATTTCAAAATACCTAGAAATCAGGACTTGAAATATTCTCAACACATAGAAATGATAAATGCTTGTAGTGATAGTATAACCTAAATACCCTGACTTGATCATTAAACATTCTATGCATGTAACAAAGTATCACATGTTCTCCACAAATACATGCAAATACTATGTACCAAGAAAATTTTTCTTGCATATAAGAAATAGAAAAGAGACTAACAACAAATTATAATTATGCTAGAAAAAAACAAATATTGCACTGGAAAAGACATTCCTCCCATATTCTAATCTCTATATCATTCTGGCCTCTCTCTGCTATCCAAGGAAATTCATTTTAAAATTATTATTTTAAAAGTTCACTTTAAGTATATATGTACCTCTGCCTCCAAAACACAGACTATTTTCTCAGTCATACCAGAAAAAAAGTTCCTGGAGTTAGACAAAGCTGGACGTGTCTGATTGGGTAGTTGTTACTGAACTCAGATTCACGTTTCTTCCATGGAGAGAATGCTACATTTTGAACATTCTCTTTCCTTTTCCTATTCTGTATTACACTAACACTGAATTTTAACTCACGCTACAATTACACCTGACTTGCCCTTTTAATTGGTTTCATGCCATTATTATTTAGTTTATTTCCAATTTTAAATGTTTTAAAGTATAAAGTACTGTACTTATTGCGGTGAATAGACTACCTGATAACTCCATCATTTCTATATTAAAAGAGATGATTTAGATTCACCCAATAGGAGGTAAAATTAAATGTCTTCATAATTTGAAATAAAAATATTATATATTACATTTGCAGCTTCAGTTCAGTTTGAGGAAATTATTAATAACATGTTATAGTTCAGAACAGGAAAACCATAAAATTAATATGATAAGGAAACAATATTTACTATTTCACCAGTAAATATGATTTTACTGTATATTTTTATATATACTCTTTATTAGATTAAAAAAGTTTTATTTTATTACCATTTTGGTGATATTTTAAAAATCATGAATACATGCTTATATTTAACAAATGCTTCTTCCACATCTATTGATAGTATTAATGTGGTAAATTACATTAATTAATTTTCAATGTTAAACCCTTATATTCCTGGAATAAATCCTACTTGGTAATGATGACTTATCCTATTTTATATGTTGTTAAGTTTTGTATGTTAATATTTTGTTTAGAATTTTGTATCCCAGCTCCAAGTATACAGAATCGTAATTTTCTTTTAATATCCATGTCAAGTTTTGGTACCAAGCTATTCTGTCCGATAAAGGAATAGAAGAGTAGATTTTTTCAGTTAGTGATTGCATAGTCTATGTTTTCCCATATATTTACTTCCCACTTATTTGTATCCTTATATTTAAAGTATATATGTGGGAGACATCAACAAGATTATAGAATAGGAGGTCTCATGTTTCACTATACTCTCCCACAACACACAGAGAGAAAATGTAGCAGCTATTCAAAGAAAAGAACACCTTGGTGAAAACCCCCAGAACTGGAAATAAGCCTGAGACACCTGCATGATTCATAGAACAAAATAAAAACTGTATGGAAAAGGTAATAGAAATGTCTCACTCTGACTGTGTTACCTTTCCCCTTCCCCCAAGTCAGCACAGTGCCACACTGAAAAGATTCTCCATGAACCACATTTTCTGCAGAGGAAAAAGAGAATCAGAGGTGAACACCCAGCTTTTCTAGCACTCTGAGACTTCTCCCAAGAAGCCCACTCCAGTCTCATTTCACAAGAAACTCAGAAAAAAGTGGCATGGCTAGACTGCCTGTGTTCTCTTTTCTCTATTTTAAAAGGGTTTGTCTATGATGGCTATTATGTCAATTATTATTTTTTTAATATTGAAAATTATGTAAAAGAATTCAGCAGTGAAGCTATCTAGGTCAGCAGTTTTTCTTTTCAAGAAAGTTGCTTAAATTTGGATTCAATTTATTTAACAGATGTAGCATCATTCATATTTTCTACTAATTCTTATGGCAATCTTGGAAATGTATATTTCTCCACTTTATCTAAATTATCAAGCAAATACTTAGGGAATTCAGCACCACCAGGCTTGCCTTGCAAGAGCTCCTGAAAAAACTACTAAATATGGAAAGAAAAAAATGTTACCTGCCACTACAAAAACTCACCAAAGGCTGGGCACAGTGGCTTATGCCTGTAATCCCAGCACTTTGGGAGGCTGAGGCGGGCAGATCACCTGAGGTAGGAGTTCAAGATCAGCCTGGCCAACATGGCAAAACCTTGTCTCTACCACAAATACAAAAATTAGCTGGGTGTGGTTGCAGACACCTGTACTCCCAGTCACTCCGGAGGCTGAGGCAGGAGAATCACTTGAACTCAGGAGGTGGTTTGCAGTGAGCCGAGATCATGCCACTGCACTCCAGCCTGGGCAACAAGAGCAAAATTCCATCTCAAAAAAAAAAAAATACTCACTGAAGTACACAGACCAGTGACACTGAAGCAATCACATAAGCAAGTCTGCAAAACAAACAGCTAGCATCATGATGGCAGGATCAAATTCACACATAACCATACTAAGCTTAAATAAGCATGAGCTAAATGCCCCAATTAAAAGACAGAGAATGTCAAGCTGGCTAAAGAGCTAAGACCCATTGCTATGCTGTCATCAAGAGACCTATTTCATGGGTAAAGACACAAATAAGCTTGAAATAAAGAGGTGGAGGAAAAATTACTAAGCAAATGGGAAAAAAAAGCAGGGGTTGCAATCTTAGTTTCTGACAAAACAGACTTTAAACAACAAAGATAAACAAAAGACAAAGAAGGGCATGACATAATGGTAAAGGTTTCAGTTCAACAAGAAGAGCTAACTCTCCTAAATATACATGCACCCATACAGGAGCACCAAGATTCATAAAGGAAATTCTTAGAGACCTACAAAGAGACTCAGACTCCCACACAATAATAGTAGGAGACTTTAACACCCCACTGGCAATACTAGACAGATCACCGAGACAGAAAATTAACAAAGATATTCAGGACCTGATCACAGCTCTGGATCAAGTGGACCTGATAGATATCTACAGAACTCTCCAACCCAAAACAACAGAATATACATTCTTCTCATTGCCCCACAGCACTTACTCTAAAATCGATCACATAATTGGAAGCAAAACACTCCTCAGCAAATGCAAAATAACTGAAATAATAACAAACAGCCTCTCAGACCACAACACAATCACATTGTAAACTCAAAATTAAGAAATTTACTCAAAACCGCACAACTATATGGAAATTGAACAACCTGCTTCTGAATGATTCCTGGGTAAATAATGAAATTAAAGCAGAAATCAAGAAGTTCTTGTAAACTAATGAGAACAAAGAGACCGTGTACCAGAATATTTGGGATGCAGCTAAAGCAGTGTAAACAGGGAAATTTATAGGACTAAATGCCCACATCAAAAAGCTAGAAAGAACTCAAGTTAGCAAACTAACATCACAACTAAAAGAACAACAGAGCCAAGAGGAAACAAGCCCCAAAGCTAGTAGAGGACAAGACATAACTAAAATCAGAGCTGAACTGAAGGAGATAGAGACATGAAAACCCTTAAAAAAGAATCCACAAACTCAGGAGCTGGTTTTTTGAGAAAGAAATAATAAGATGGACCACTAGGTAGACTAATAAAGAATAAAAGAGAGAATGTTTAAACAAACACAATAAGAAATGATAAGGGAGATATCACCAGTGATCCCACAGAAATACAACCATCAGAGAATACTATAAACACTCCTATGCAAATGAGCTAGAAAATCTAGAAGAAATAGATAAATCCCTGGACACATGTACCCTCCTAAGACTGAACCAGAAAGAACTTAAATCCCTGAACAGACCAATAACGAGTTCTGAAATTGAGGCAGTAATAAACAGCCTACCAATCGAAAAAAGCCCAGGGCCAAACAGATTCACAGCTGAATTCTACTAGAGATACAAAGAAGATCTGGTACAATTTCTAATGAAACTATTGCAAACAATTAAAAGGAGTAACTCTTCCTTAACTCATTTGATGAGGCTAGCATCATTCTGATACCAAAACCTGGCAGATACGCAACAAAAAAGAAAACTTCAGACCAATATCCTTGATGAACATCAATGCAAAAATCCTCAATAAAATATTGGCAAACCAAATCCAGCAGCACATCAAAGAGTTTATCCACTAAAATCAAGTTGGCTTCATCCCCAGGATGCAAGGTTGGCTCAACATATGCAAATCAATAAATATGATTCATCACATAGAACTCAAGACAAAACCACATGATTATCTCAATAGATGCGGTAAAGGCCTTTGATAAAATTCAACATCCCTTCATGTTAAAAAAACTCTCAATAAACTAGATACTGAAGGAATATACCTCAAAATAATAAGAACCATATATGACAAACCCACAACCAACATCGTACTGAATGGGCAAAAGCTGAAAGCATTCCCCTTGAAAACTAGCACAAGGATGCCCTCTCTCACCACTCCCATTCAACATAATATTGGATGTTCTGGCCAGGACAATCAGGCAAGAGAAAGAAATGAAGCGTATTCAAATAGGAAAAGAGGAAGTCAAATTATCTTTGTTTGCAGATGACATAATCCTATATCTACAAAATCCCATTGTCCCACCCAAAAGCTTCTTAAGTTGATAAGCAAATTTAGCAATGTCTCTGGATACAAAATTGATGTGCAAAAATTGCTAGCTTTCCTATACACCAACAACAGGCAAGCCGAGAACCAAATCATGAATGAACTCCTATTCACAACTGCCACCAAAAGAATAAAATACCTAGGAATACAGCTAACAATGGAAGTAAATAACTTCTTCACAGAAAACTACACAACATTGCTCAAAGAAATCAGAAGTACACAAACAAATGAAAAAGTATTCTACGCTCATGGACAGGAAGAATCAATATCATGAAAACGGCAATACTGTCCAAAGTAATTTATAAATTCAATTCAATTCCCATTAAACTACCACTGACATTCTTCACAGAATTAGATAAAAACTATTTTAAAATTCATATGAAACAAAAAAAGAGCCCGCATAGCTGAGATAATCCAAAGCAAAAAGAACAAAGCTGGAGGCATCAAGCCACCTGAATTCAAACTATATACTACAAGCCTACAGTAACCAAAACAGCATGGTACTGGTACAAGAACAGACACATAGACCAATGGAACAAAAGAGAGGACTCAGAAATAAGACCACATGCCCAGAACCATCTTTTCTTTGACAAACCTGACAAAAACAAGCAATGGGGGAGAGACTGCCTCCTTAATAAATGGTGCTGCAAGAGCTGGCTAGCCATATGCAGAAAACTGAAACTGGACCACTTTCTTACACCATGTGCAAAAATTAACCAAGATGGATTAAAGACTTAAATGTAAAACCCAAAACTATAAAAAGCCTAGAAGAAAATCTAGGCAATACTAATCAGGACATAGGCACAGGCAAAGATTTCATTATGAAAATCCCAAAAGCAATTGCAACAAAAGCAAAAATTGACAAATGAGATCTAATTAAACTAAAGAGCTTCTTCACAGCAAAAGAAACTATCAGAATGAACAGACAACCCACAGAATGGGAGAAAAATTTTGCAATCTATCCATCTGACAAAGGTCTAATACCTAGAGTCAACAAAGAACTTAAACAAATTTATGAGAAAAAAAACCCATTAAAAAGGAGGCAAAGAGCATTAACAGACACTTCTCAAAAGAAGACGTACACGTGGTTAACAAACATATGACAAAAAAGTTTAACATTATGGATCATTAGAGAAATGCAAATCAAAACCACAATGAGATACCATCTCATGCCAGTCAGAATGGCTATTATTAAGAAGTCAAAGAACAACAGATGCTGGTGAGGTTATGAAGAAAAAGGAACACTTTTACACTGCTGGTGAGAGTATAAATTAATTCAACCATTGTGGAAGACAGTGTGGCAATTTCTCAAAGACCCAGAGGCAGATATACCATTCAACCCAGCAATCCCATTACTGGGTATATGCCCCAAGGAATATAAATCATAAATATATATGTATCCTTTTCTATTATATACATGCACTCATATGTTCATTGCAGCACTATTCACAATAGCAAAGACATGGAATCAATGTAAATGCTCATCAGTGATAGACTGGGTAAAGTAAACATGGTACATATACATCATGAAATAATATGCAGCCATAAACATGAACAAGATCATGTTCTTTGCAGGGATATGGATGGAATTGGAAGCCATGATCCTCAGCAAACTAATGCAGGAACAAAAAACCAAACACCTCATGTTCTCACTAATAAGTGGGACCTGAATGATGAGATAGTGGGACCATGGACAGATGGTGCGAAGCAACACACTCTGGGACCTGTCAGTCAGGGGTTGTGGGGAGCTGAGAGGGAGCATCAGGAAGAATAGCTAATGGATGCTGGGCTTGATACCTAGGTGTTGGGATAATCTGTGCAGCAAACCACCATGGAACACATTTACCTATGTAACCAACCTGCACATCCTACAAATGTACCCCTGAACTTAAAAGTTAAAGAATAAAAAAACTTAAAAATATCTTTTGGTTCATATCTGTGAAAATTTATATTATTTCTAAAGTGAATACCCTTAGAAAGAAACACCGTTAAGAAAATGAAACTGCAGCCGGGCACTGTGGCTCACGCCTGTAATCCCAGCACTTTGGGAGGCTGAGGCAGGCGGATCACAAGGTCAGGAGACAGAGACCATCCTGGCTAACACGGTGAAACCCCGTCTCCACTAAAAATACAAAAAAATTAGCCGGGTATGATGGTGGACACCTGTAGTCCCAGCTACTTGGGAGGCTGAGGCAGGAGAATGGTGTGAACTCGGGAGGCAGAGCTTGCAGTGAGCTGAAATCATGCCACTGCACTCCAGCCTGGGCGACAGAGCGAGACCCCGCCTCAAAAAGAAAAAAAAAAGAAAAGAAAAGAAAACTGCTTATTATTAAGAAAAATGGATGAGAATTTATTTTCAAGCTGAATAAATAATAATGCTTAAGGATATTAATATACTAAATTACCATTTGTATATTATTGTTTTGATTGCTTTATATAATCATTTATAATTATGACTATATAAATATGTTTATATAAATATACTTATATAATATACTTATATAATTATATAAATTATGTTATATTATATAAATATAATTATGTAAGTATATTTATATAATATAAATATAAATTTATATTTGTATTATATACATATAAATATGTATATAAATTTATATTTCTATTTATCAATATAATTATATTTATGTAATATAATTATATAAATATATTTACATAAATAGAATTATATAAATTTAATATATAATATAATTATATAAATATATAAATTATATTTATATAAATATAAATGTCCCAATTTCAATAATGGACAGGGCATCCAAACAGAAAATTAATTATTAAATATTGAGCATAAACACTTTAGACCAAAGGGATCTAACAGATATACACAGATTACTCTGTCCAACAGCAAATGAATGCACATTCTTCTCAAGTGCACAGGGAGCATTCTCCAGGATAGATCTTATGTTAGGCCACAAGCCGAGCCTTAACAAATTTAAGAAGATTTAAATTATATCAAGTACCTTTTTTTTTTGACAGTAATGGTATGAAACTAGAAATTAATAATAAGTAAAACGTCAAAAAATTCACAAACACATGGAGATTTTAAAACGTACTCCTGAACACCCATGCGTCAATGAAGAAATTAAAAGAGAAATTTAAAAATATCTTGAGACAAATGAAAATGAAAATATACCCAAAGTTATGGGATGCAGCAAAATAAGTTCTAAGAGGAAAATTTACAGCAATAAATGCCTACATCAAAAGAGGAAAAAGTATCACAAATGAGCAACTTAATATTACACCTCAGGAAAATAGAAAAAGGATAAGCCTGATGACAGCAAAAAAAAAAAAAAAAAAAGAAACAATAAAAACCAGAAAATAAATAAAATAGAGACTAGGAAAATAATAAAAAAGATCAATGCAACTAAATTATTTTGAAAAGATAAACAAAATTAATAAACCTTTAGCTCGACTAAGAAAAAATCGGCAATTAAAAAGGAGACATTACAACTGATACTACAGAAATACCTAGGATCATAAGCGACTATTATGAGCAACTAGATGCCAAAATATTGGATAACCTAGAAGAAATGAATGAATTATTAGATAAACACAAACTACCAAGACTAAAATCTTGGTAGATTTTGAAGAAATCATGAAGACACAGAAAGGTTGAACCAACCAATTAAGAGTAAGGAGATTTCATCAGTAAGAAAAAGTCTTGCTGAAAGCAAAGCCCAGAACCTGAGGGCTTCACTGCTGAATTCGCCCAAACATTTAAAGAACAATGCCAATACTTAACAAACTCTTCCAAAAAAATTAAAGAGGGAATTCTTCCTAAAACATTCTATAAGGCCAGCACTACTCTGATAATAGAGTGAAATAAGGACATCAGAAGAAAACAAAACTGCAGGGCACTATCCTTGGTGAACATATATGCAAATGTACTCAAAAAAATACTAGCAAACTGATTTTATCAATACATTAAAGGATCATTCATCATTATCAAGTGGGATTTATTCATGTGATACAAGGATGATTCAATATTTGCAAATTAATAAATGGGACGTGCTACATTAACAGAATGAAAAACAAAAACTATATGATCGTCTCATTAGATGGAGAAAAATTATTAGAAAAATTCAGAATTCTTTAATGATAAAAACTTTCAACAAATTAGGTATAGAAGGAATGTACCTAAACACAATAAGGACCATATAGAATAAGTCCACAAATAAAATCATAAATAACAGTGAAAAATTGAACCCTTTTCCCTAAGATCCAGAAAAAGACAAGGATGTCCACTCTCAGCATTTCTATTCAGCATAGCATTAGAAGTTTTTGCCAAAGCAATTACGCAATAGAAAGAAATAAAAGGCATCCAAATAAAAAAGGAAGAAATGAAATTGTTGCTGTTTGCTGATGACATAATCTTATATCTAGAAAACTCTAAAGAAGCCACCAAAAAAACTGTTAGAATAAATGATACAGTAACCTTATGGGATATAAAATCAACACAAAAAAATTAGTAGTATTTCTATACACTAACAATAAAATTCTTGAAAAACAAATCAAGAGAACAGTCTCATTTACAATAACTATTAAAAACTTTCTGTGGAAGGAAGTGAAAGACTTGTACACTGAAAACTATAAAATGTTAATGAAAAAATTGAAGAAAATAAACAAATGGAAAGATACCTCGTGTTCATGGTATGGAAAAATTAATATTGTTAAAATATCCATCCTAGGCACAGTGATCAACAAATTCAATGCAATTTCCATCAAAATTTCAACGTCATTTTTCCTATAAATAGAAAAAATACAAACCTAAAATTCATATGAAAGCACAAAAATCTTGAAAAACTAAGGCAATCATAAGCAAAAAGAAGAAAGCTGGAAACATCACACTATTTGATTTCAAATTATATATGAAGTGAAAGTAATTTAAATAGCATGGTACTGGAATAAAAATAGGCTCATTAACAAATGGAAAAGGATAGAGAATGCAGAAATGAACCCACTCATCTCTGATCAATTGATTTTCAATAAAGGTGCCAAGAATTTTTAACAAATGTGCCTTTTATGTTGTGAAAAGGAGTCCCTTAAATAAATAGTGTTGAGTAAACAATATGGATATGCAAAAGAATGAAATTGGACCTTTATCTCACATCATATACTTAAATCAAGTCAATGTGGATGAAAGATTTAACCATAAGTACTGAAAGTTTAAAACTACTAGAAGAAAACATATGAGAAAAACTATGTGACATTGGTCTGGGCAATGATATTTTCGATTTGATCTCAAAAGCACAGGCAACAAAAGCAAAAACAGAAAAATGGGATTGTGGCTGGGTGCGGTGGCTGACGCCTGTAATCCCAGCACTTTGGGAGGCCGAGGTGCATGGATCACCTGAGGTCAGGAGATCAAGACCAGCCTGGCCAACATGGTGAAACCCCATCTCTACTAAAAAAAAAAATACCAAAAAACTAGATAGTTGTGGTTGTGCACGCCTCTGGTCCAGCTACTCGGGAGACTGAGGCAGGAGAATTGCTTGAACCCAGGCAGCAGAGACTGTGGTGAGCCAAGATCATGCCACTGCACTCCAGCCTGGGCAACAGAGCAAGACTCCATCTCAAAAAAAAAAAAAAAAAAAAAGAAGAAGAGAAAAATGGGATTGCATCAAACTAAAAAGCTTCTGTACAAGAAATGAAACATCACAATGAAGAGACAACCCATAGATTAGGATAAAATGTTTTCAAGCCATACATCCAATAAAGGGCTAATATCCACAATATATATTAGGAATTCAAGCAACTTTATAGAAAGAAAACAATATCTGATTTTAGAATGGGCAATGGACCTGAACAGATAGTTCTCAAAGATAATTAAGAAATGGCCAATAGACATATGACAAAATATTCAACATCACTTATCATTAGGGAAATGCAAACTAAAACCACAATGAGATATCACCTCACACCTGGCAGAATAGCTATTTTCAAAAAGACAAAAGAGAAAACGTGTTCGCTAAGATATGAAGAAAAGGGAACCATTGTACACTGTTGGTGGGACTGTAACTTAGTACCACCATTATGAAAAAAGGTAAGGAGGTTCCTCAAAAAACTAAAAACAATATTATCATATGATCCAGCTATTCCACTTCTGGCTACTTACCCAAAAGATTTGAAGTCAGTATGTCAAAGAGATATCTGTACTCTTCTATTTATTGCCAACACTATTCACAATAGCCAAGTTATGGAACCAAACAGAGTCCATCAACAGATGAGTGGATAAAGAAAATGTACATATTCCCAATTAAATACCATTCAGTCTTTAAAAAGAAGGAAATCTTGTCATTTGTGACAATATGGATGGAATTGGGAAACATCCTAAGTGAAATAAGTCAGTCACGGAAAAACAAATACTTTATGTTCTTACTTATATGAGGGTTCTAAAATAAACTCACAGAAGCAGCGAGTAGAATGGTGGTTACCAAAGCCTAGGGGTATGATGGGGAATGGAGAGATGATGGTTAAAGGGTATAATGCCTCAATTAGAGGAATAATGGGTTTTTTCTTTTGCTATAAATTATACAGTGTAATCAATATAGTAAATAATAATGTAGTACACACTTTAAAATCACTGAGAGTGAATTTTAAATGTTCTCACCACAAAAAGATAAGTATTTGAAGTTATAGATATGTTAAGTAGCTTGGTTAAATTATTCCACATTATATGCATAAATTATAACATCCCTTTGACATATACAATTATAATTTGTCAATTTACAATTAAAAATGAAAATTTTATAATAGAAATAAAAGTGTGTATTTGCAAACAGCATACAGTTGGATCTTTTAAAAAATATAATCTGATAATATTTCTCATTAACTAAGGTATTAATCCATCTACCTTTGGTGTAGTTTTCATGCAGTTACTTTTAACTGTATTATCTTACTATTTGTTTTTACTTATCCTAGCAATACATCATTCCTGTATATGCCCTTTTCTTCCTTCTGTGGGAATCAAGCATTGTTTTTCTATTTTATATCCTCTAATTAGATTTTTAGATATACATTTTAAAATTAACTTTAGTAGTTATTGTCAGAAGTACAATAGGCATATGGATCTATCCCAAGCAGGGCTACATTAATAATCTAACACTTCCTGCAAAATGCAAGACTACAATACTGTTTGTCTACTTCTTGCTCTTTTTGCTAGTAATGTCATGTATTTTACTCCATGTTTTGCATATGTTACAAGGTAATTTTATTGTATTAATCAATGCTATTTGTACTTACCTACATAATTGCCTTCCAAATGCTCCTTATTCCTTCTTGTACCCCGGTGCCTCAATCTGATAAAAATTGCTCTTCTGAGAAACTTCCTGTGCAATTCTTATAAATTCTTTCAACTTTTGTTGTCTAAAAAAATATTTCTTTTACCTTCATGCCTAAAGTATATTTTCATAGGTTATAGAAGTCTAGGCCAGTAGTTTTTTTTATCATTTAAAAAATATTATTTTATCATTTTCTGGCTTCCATAGTTACTGTTGAAAATTCAGCCTCATTCAGTCTTACTGTCTTAAAGATAATGCATCTTTTTTTTTTTTTTTTTAAACTCAGGCAACTTCTACGAATTTTTTCTTGAATCTGCAGGTTGAGATCTTTTATCATTTTTTGGAACATTCTCAGCCATTTACCTTCAATCATTGCTTTTTTTCCTTCTCTCCTTTTAAGGATCTAAATAGATAATTAGACAGAGAGAAGATATTAGATATATATTTTATATATTTATGGTATTTCAATTAACCATCTTTGAGTCCACTAATTTTTTGTGTCCAGTCTACTGGTAAGCCAATCCAATGCATTCTTAATTTCGGATTTTCTATTTCTCAGTTCCAGAATGTACATTAACTATTCATTTTTCTACCTTTTTATTCTCTTTAACGTTAATCATTATTACTTTATAGTGCTTCTAGTAACTGTAACAGATGGATCACTGTGGATCTGCCTTTATTGTCTCTTTCAATCTCCCTTACATTTTCATTGTATGCTAGACAATGTGTATATACGTACATTGGAAACCTCACAGCATATCCCCCCAGAGCAGGCTAAGGGTCTAATCACTAGAATCCAGTAAACAATTTAGCTGTGTTGGGGCTGGGTAGCACTTTTAATTAGCCTCACTCCATCTTTTATTTATCTGTGCTCCTCAGGTGTTACTCTCATGGGTTTCTGATTCAGAGTTTATCAGATCTATTTCCTCTTCCTTGAAATATTTCACAACATTCAGTTCTTCCATTCAGATATATTGGCTTACTCTTTAGCTTTACACAAATCACTTGGGAGACCAGCTGTATGTTTGATTCACTCCCTCTCTCTCCCATAGGACATTGCCTCCTCAGATCCTGAAACTAGTGGAGATTTTACTCTTTTGGTGTAGCCTCCTGTTAGTTATGACCCTACTGACTTCTACTCCCCCCAGTGAAGTTTCTTCACCTATCTCATGTTCAATCTTTAGCTGGTCCTCAATCAACAAATGCTTGCAGAGACAAAAAGTCAGTAATATACAATTCACCTGGCAGGGCACTTTCCTCTCTGTAACTGGTTCCTCTAGTTCTCGTTGCTCCTACAACTCTCCCTTACATTTAAAAATATGAGTCTTATCATATTTTTTGAATTACTAGGGAGCATTGTTCTGCTACTACCTAGTGTTTCTACCTGAAAGCAGAAGTATACAAACTACATTCTGATTTGAAACAAAAATAACACTGCTTAGAGATGCTTCTCTTTTAGTAAAAAGCCAAAAATGTATTAAATTATTACAAATCATTTTCTTGCATTAGATAGCAAGACAGAAGAACCAGGCTCAGCATTCTATCTTCTTCTCCCACTCATCCATAGGCTCCCGTCAATTAATCTGTCCCTACTTAACACTAAGTTTGAATTTTGAAAAGAAATGAAAGTATAGATTGCATGTTTTAAGAATTTGCAAATTACACTCTTGTGTATGCACCTTCCTGCCCCCATTCTGTCTCTCTCTTCCCACTCTGCGACATATAAACACACACATACAAACAGACAGAAGTAGAATATTTGTTTTAATCTCCCCTACAAAGTTTAGGGACAGAAGATACAATGAAAGACCAAGAGTATAACTTTCTCCCTTGTTTCTGTCTACTCTATTTTAGTAAAGGAATGGAGAGAAAAACCTCAGGATTAGGTGAACACATAGCTAAATTTAGGTCATCCTTCCTTCCCTAGACTCAATTTCAATTAAAAGTGAAAATATCAGAAGGGGAATGTTTTTATATAGTTGTTATGGTTCATTTTATGTGTCAACTATCAGGCCCAGTTGTTTGATCAAACACCCAGAGTAATCAAATCTAATAATCCTAGATTTGGTAATCTCAGTACCAAATATTTTGGTACTGAGAGCAGGGTGCTGCTGTAACAAATACCTGAAAATGTGAAAGTGACTTTGGAATTGGGTGATGGGTGAAGGCTGGAAGAATTTTGAGGTGCTTGGTAGAGAAAGCCTGCATTGCCTTAAAGAGAGTGTTGGAAGAAACATAAATATTAAAGATGCTTCAGGTAAAGTCTCAAACAGAAATGAAAAACATGTTACTGGAGACTAGAGGAAATGTGATTCTTGTTATTAAGTGGCAGAGAACCTGGCTGAATTATATTTTGTTGGGTAGAAAATAGAACTTATAGTGATGAACCTGTATTCATTATTCAGCTGAAGAGATTTCTAAGCAAAGTGCTGAAGGTACACCCTTGTTTCTTCTTGTTACCAATAGTAAAATACAAGAGGAAAGGGATACATTTAAGAAGAAATAGTTAAGCAAAAAGAATCCAAAACTTGTGGATTTGGAAAATTCTCAGCCTATCCACATTACAAAAAAAAAAAAAAAATAGAAAATGTGCTTTGGCGGTATCACCAATGTTATTGCTGGAAAACTGTTTGCTCAGGAGATTAGGCATGTGATTTGTGGATCCAATTAGTCATCTCAGCATAAACACTGCCATCCTGGACTGAAGGGTAAAGGCATGGGTTAAAAAGAAAGAACACTGTCAGACTTCTGGGATTCCACAGGAAGAAAATAAACCAATCGAACTATTTGGATGCAAATATGTATTATATTTCAGAAAACGGGAAGAATGACCCCCCAGGGTGGGTCAGAGGCCAGCAGGCTAATGCTGTCACCATGGACTCGGAGGGTACAGGCCCAGGGCATAGCACCCTCACCTCCTGGATTTCAGAGGCCATAGGCAGTGCTGTCACCTGGGGTCAAGACAGGTGGAGCCACCACCAGGTCATAGCATCAAGCCTGTGGGAATATTTCTCAAGCCTTAACATGTAATAAAATTTGCCCTGCTAAGTTTTAAACTTGCTTGAGACCCATGACCCTTTTTTCTTTCAATTTCTCTATTTTGAAATGGGAATGTCTATTCTATGCTGGTCCCACTATTGTATTTTAGAAACATAGAACTTGTCTGGTTTCACAATTTCAATGATGAAAAAAAGTTTTTCCTCAGGATAAATAATATTGCGTCTCACCCATAATTGATTTGAATGATTTAGATAATGAGATTTGAGACTTTGATTTGATAGTGTTTAGATGAGATTTGGGACTTAAAAATTGATGCTGGAATGATGAAGACTTTTAGCAATGTTGGGATGGGGTGAATGTATTAATATTTTGCACATGGGAAAGACATACATTTGGGGAGTTGAACTGTTTTGTGTTGAATCATCTGTTTCCCAGTAAGAGATATACCCTAGTACCTCAGAATGTAACCTTATTTGGAAATTTGGTTAAATGTGGTCTTTAACTTTAAAGTTAAAACAAGACAGATACACACAGAGGAAAGACAATGTGAAGACAGCCATATAATGACAGAGGCAGGGATTAGATTGATGCAGCTGCAAGCCAAGGAATGATATCCTCATCTCAAAACTATGTCCCCCTCCCAGACCCTGAATGAATCCTAACTTGATTTCGGTAGACCCAGACAAATAGTTTGATATCATGTCACTCTCACCCATAGGCTCAA
Organism: Homo sapiens; assembly: GCF_000001405.40. Classification (NCBI taxonomy): domain Eukaryota; kingdom Metazoa; phylum Chordata; class Mammalia; order Primates; family Hominidae; genus Homo; species Homo sapiens. Next base: position 153,173,324 of record NC_000002.12, on the reverse strand, counting down.
CAAGGACAGAGCATCCCAGGGGTGACCATTCCTCTGATCTCTGCCTCACAACTCACCTCAGGGTAACCAGTCTTCTGCCCAAGCTAAAGCACCCAACACACCCCCATCGGTAAGAATACACTTCTACTCTGCTTTTCCAAAGAGAAAAGTACAGTCATATGGTTTATGTCTAAGTAGTCTATTTAGCCCAATTGCTGTTTGGAATTATATAGATATAGATATAGACATAGATATAGATATAGATATATATTACAAGATATATACATATATCTTGTAATGTTCACAGTATGCCTAGTATACAAGTTACTAGTATACAAGTCATTATTCTCATTCCCTGGAGGAGATATCCGAAGCACATGAAGCTTAAATAATCTGCCTTAGACATTCAGTTAGTAAACAATGGAGCCAAAATTAAAACCAAGGACTGCCTGCAAAAGTGTCAAAGTACAAAGAAAATGAATAATGTTTGTTTTAGATCATCTCTTAGGGATGTTCAGTCTTTTTCAGTTTTTCAGATTACCTTACCCTCTCTTTCATCTTACCAAGGTATTATCTGAATCTGTAAGGTCATTTGCTGGATCCTTTGTTGGCATGGGAAGAAAAAGTCTCCTATTTGTACCACGTGATTTTGTGCCACTCTTCTAGCCCTTAATGAAAAACATTTCTTTGTTTGCCCAGGTACTAGTGACCCTGCTGGCTATCAACTGGCTAAGGATGGCAGGGCATTGTTGGTACCTGCCCAAGAGCCCTAGCTCATGACCTGTTCTCCTCCACCTTGGTCAGGGCCTAGTGGTATTGTCTACTGGCCTGGACCCACCTCAGCTCTCAGTGGTGCTTTAAATCCCCTTAGGGTTGGCAGTGAATCCTAAGTAGTCTGTCCAAAAGTCCTTTAATACAGAGTCTCTTCATCCCTGCAATCACTATGTTTTCTGGCAAGCTCCCCACCCTAACTCCCAGCTAACATTCTATCTCTCTACTTCAAGAGAAGCCTGGGATTTGGCATTTCTATCTCCACTGTATGAAAAACGAAGGTGGCTTACAGGAGCTACACCAAGGCTCCCTCTATGCATGCACCATCCCTCTAACACTAATACAGTCTCCCACAGGTAGATATAGGACTCTTTACAATAAAATACTAGGCTAGGATATCAAATATAGATTGGTACAAGAGATGTGCTGCTTTATATTCCCATCCATATGTCTTTGTCTCTCCTCTAGGACTTCAGTCAATCCGAAGTGGTTCACTTCTCATCTCTGCCTCTTTCTTCCCAAATGTCCTGCACTAGAATGGTATGCTCCCCACTCCTTTCAACATGAACCCCATCATGTTATAACCTTCTTCTACCTGTGCAAATGATTACCATGTCTCCTCCTATTAATGATGGAAGGGCTATCTTTTCTGTGTTATGGAAGAAAGTAATCTACATGGTCAGTCCTGGCTTTTAATGTTAATAGACAATTATCAGCTGAAATAGTTTCAGCTATAATTAACAGAAAATAACTCAATTTGGCTTAAATAGTACAGAAACAGCATTATCTGATATGGTTATTCCCAAGATAAGGCCATTTTAGGTTTTTATATTTAGTGCTCAGCTGTGTCATAAAACACAGTTTTCTTACTTCTTTCTGCCTTGCCATCCTTAGCCAGGTTACAGCCAGATTCTAGGTGTCACAGGCAGACACAATAATATCTAGCAAAAGAAAATAACAGCTTTTTCCTCTTCAGGTTTGGGAAGGATTGTTGGTAAACTTCTCTAATGAAGTATAATATATTTCATTAGAAATTCACCAACATATAAGAGTTACTGTTGTCCCACATTCTTGTCAACACTTGTCACTTTTTTTTTGTTAGCCATTCTAGTGAGTACCTTGATATTGGTGGAGTTGTTTTTGCATTTCTAAATAATAATTATTTAATGTTAATTAGTTTAATATAGTGCTTCCTCTGTAATAATTTTATGTCACATGCTTTTTAAAACTAATGCTCACTATCTAATGATGTAACCATTTACTCAATTCATGCACTCAATTAGTTGCCAAAACAATATTCCAGTAACTTTTTATAGCAAGGAAAGCCTTGATCAGAAGCATTTACAGCTTCTCACTTCTCAGATGTGCATCACGTGCCTATACATAAACTGGTTTTTGGCAAAGGCAACGAGACGACCATAATTGGCTTAGACCACTCATGATTCAGCCCCAGGCTGATACAGGAGTATATCTCCCTTAAGGTGCACTACCAGTGGGGTAACCGAATTGAATCAGAGTTTTGTTAGAAAAAAGAAGGAAAAGTTACTGTTACTGAGTAGACAAACAAAAGTGTACACTAAAATGCTGATGGAATTTTAAAAAATAATTTCATCTCTTGATAAAGTCTAGCTTTCATAATTATTTTATCTATTCAGAACCTTACTTTGTTAATCAAAAGCTAAATAACTGCTATATTAGACAAATGGATGAATCAGAATAACTAGTCAGAAAATCATATACATGGAGATGCAAATGAGAAATGTATTTCAAAAGCAACTTCCTCACTGACTTAAAATCAGTCTGTCATCAAAACATTATGGGCTATAGTCTGAATTTCAAATAAGGTAACATTTGTTAGATAATGTTAACTTCATTTGTTTCAGTTGGCTAATGACCAACATGTATTTGGAAGTCAGAAAGCCTGTGTTTAGCCATACAATGCATCATTTGGCTACTAGCAGTGATATTTGGCTTGCAATGAGACACTATTTTTTCTTCTGTGTGACACTTCGGTGCTTAGCCAGCTGCTTAAGTTAATTATAAATTTTGCTATCTATTGTCAGAAATCACCTGTTCCAGACTTTGGCTATAACACATGTTTACATATCCATATATACATTTCTTCTTATAATTACTTTAGGTTCAAAGAAAGATAAAATCCCTCAAGTCTGAGGTTGAATCTTCCTCATTTCCCTAATAAACAAAATTGCTTAAATCTTAACAAGATGTGGCTTTCTTTGGATAAAATTTGTTATTAAAAAAAACAATTAGCTTAAAAGAATCTTTCTCTGATATATTATTATATCAACCAAATAAACATCTTCATGTGTAGAAAAATATGAGATGAAAATATTTAAGGAACGTATTAGGTTTATTTTGTTACCTCTATTGTTTGCTAAAAAGATTCTAATTTGACCTTGCTATGATCATATAGTCTACAAAAACATATTCTTAAGATTTAAGACTGTAACCGTAATTTTCATTAAATCTTCAAAGTAAATTTAATGGGATTTTATAAATTAGATAATAGTTGTAATTACTCATACTTACTAATTAAATTGGCTTTACTTAAACATGAAGATTAGTTGGTTTTAAACAAACATATTCCCAAGCTTAATTTTGGATAAGGGCAGTTACATAAATTCTTTTCTAGGTACAAAAAAGTAAAACCACACATGCTAATGAGGTCAAGGACCAGCCCCTCCCAAATTTTCATTTCCACACATGTCAGCAAACAGCTGGGAGCTAACAACAGTAGGGGTTGTACTTTTGACCCCTTTAAATATAAAATGGCTCTGCTTTGAAAAGACAAAGAAAATAATGCACTGCAGGTTTCAACTCTATGTGTCTGTCTCAGCCTCACCCAAGCTGCCAGGTATAGTGTCTTCCTCTTGGGAGTTCAGCCATAGCCAAGCTCTTACCAGGGACAGTCAGGCTGGTGGTTCCTTCTGAGTTTCTCAGTGTTTGTGGTTTTCAGTGGTCAGTGAGCTACAGCTTTCCTAATCTACTCCCATCAGACATGCAGTACCCCCAGGCTTAATACAGCTTAGCCTTCTACCCTGGACACCTGTGGTCCTATCTAACTCCTAATTCCTGTAGAAACTTTGTCTTCAGGAATGAGTCATGCTTCCAGATTCTTCATCTTATTTCAATCAAGCCTCAGTCCTTATACTCTAGTTACCAAACATCAACAAGAATCATGGCCATCCTAAAGCCTCCCTTAGCCCAAATCCTGTCCACCTGAATCAAAAACCTCTGAAACTTTCATCTCACTTAGAGACATCCTGATTTTGACACTCTACCAGTTTTCCTCAGCCTCCACCAATTAATTACGAATTCTGTCCCATTCTCAGGTCAATCTTTTTGCCCTAGAAGGAAATTTTATTATGCTATTGACCTAGGCAGGGCTGCCAGTGACAAATAGGTATGGTGCATATCAGAACCTTTGTGTTTAGTTGATAGCTGCCTGATTCCTTTCCTGATACAAAGGAAGCAAGTGACTGCATCTGAAGCAAAAATATTTTTTTCTCCTTTATCGGCATAACTAGTTTTTTTTTTTTAAACTATAGTTCCAACTTTGTTGCTAGAGAAAAAACAGCTGGTAGGAGGAGTGTAACAAGAAAAGAGGCTTAAAGAAAGCTGTGATTTCTACAGTTATTCTAATAAATGTGTGAAATAGCCAATCTGGAAGCACAGGAAAAAACCAACTGAAAGTATATGAATTGACATTTGGGCATATGAGGTCTCCTCTTCAACAATATGGTAAGAAGTTTGTCTGTTGTAAAGCACATGTGGCAATTAATAAGAGTACGTTAAGTTTATTAATCAGGCACTTTACATGTACTAGTTAATTCTTTAAAAATCATGGGAGATAGGTATATTTTATAGATGAAGAAACTGAATCACAGAGTTGAAGACATTTATCCAAGGGCATACAATCAATTAAATGGCAGAGTAAACAACAGTATTATTAACATATGTGTACTTGAAGTTTGCTGAGAGATCTTAAATGTTCTCACCACACACACACCCCTCCACACACGGTAACTAAGTGGAGAGATGCGTTAATTAGCTTGATAGTGGCAATAATTTCATAATGTATATATAGCAAATTATAATTTTGTGTACCACAAATATATAACTTTTTTGTCAATTATGACTCAATAAATCTAGAGGGAAAAGAAAATAAAAAATATAAAAACAAATGAAACAGTAAGAATTCCAACCCAGGTCTGCTGATTCAGGTGACGGTAAGTCAATATTAGTCAACGTTAAGCATTGTGTAGAAAATTATCCTATTTCACATTAAAATATTTCCAAAGGAATTTAGAAATAGTCTCTGTTCTATACTCTGACAAGAATGCAAATTCTGAAAATGTCCTGTCCTTCATTAAATGATCAATTAAGGTAGCATTTGAGGGAAACATATCATCTTGCCTTCCTCTACTATCCTTCAATATTTAAGTACCATCAGCAGTGCTCATTGGATCTCCAAAGAGAGAAATGCTAGGAACCTAAAAATCCCTCTGTCCTTTACTAGCTACTTAACATGGCTAAATCTTGAGGAGTCATAGCATGGTGGACATTTTGAGAGAAGAAACACTGTTTATACCAGTTAGGACTTGGTTTCTCGCCCTGAGAACTTAGCTGTACCACTTACGGTCTTAGGAATCCTTTCTCCCAACAAGAAGCAGACAAAATAGCCTCTTTGTTCCTTTCCTGGACACCATCCTAACCTTGCTCTTTGAAATCTTTCTTCTAAAAAAGTAAGGAAGAGGATGCAAAAATTAGCCCATAGAAGCAGCCTTTTTCTAAGGCTTGAGTAGTACACTTCACCTTTCCTTCCCCTTGCTCTGTAACCTAATCTCAAGAAGGTTGTTCAGATAAGAGTCCCAAGAACATTCAACTCCAGACTATCCGATTGCACCAGATTGTTTCTGGAAGACACAGAAGAATGATCTGTGAAGCAATCACCAAAGGAAGATAATACAATGAGGAAAGCCATCTAAAGGAGCCTGCCACAAAATTTTAAAAACTCTGCATGGCAACTTGACCCAGTTGTGTCATTGACAGAATTATTTCTTCTCAGGAGGAAAGACTAGGTTATGCTGTAGTAACCTAAAATCTCAACGGCTTACAAAAGGGAAAGTTTACTTTTGGTTGCTACTACACGTTCAACACAAATCAGACAGCCTGGTGAAGAGGGGAAAAGAAAAATATGCCTAACCTCAAACTGGCTCTCAAAGTTTCTGCCTCTGTCCAGATTCAATGGGCCAAAGAAAATCAGATGGTCACTCCCAAGTTTAAAAGGCAAAAATGTATGACCCTTCTGTTGGGATGGATACCACATATTATGTGATGCCAATGGAAGTATCATTTGCTCCAAGAGAAGGACAGTGACTATTATGAACAAAACTACAACATGCCACAGACTGTGTTTCTTGTCTAGTGGTTTATTTGTGGTGTACCACAAATTTAGCAGCTTAAAACAACACACATTTATTCTCTCATAGTTTCTTCGGGTCAGGAGCCTAGGCACAGCTTATCTGGGTTCTCTGCTTCAGAGTCTCACAAGGCTGCAATCAAGGTCTCAGTCAGAGCTGATACTGAGCCTGGGGTTTCTATCCAAACTCACATGGTTGTTGGTAGAATTCAGTTCCTTGCAGCTATAGGACTGAGGCCCTCATCTTCTGCAGGTCACCTTCAGTGCTTTGCCATATGGGCCTCCCCACTGTAGCATGGTGAGTCACCCACCTGGTTACGCAAGGTTATATGTCCACTGCCTGAACCCTGAAGGCCAGGCAATGTGCCAAGGCCACAGTGCCCAGCCCAAGAGCAGGTGTCCTTGAGAACCCAAACATCCCAGAGAGTATCTGAGAACCTACCAAGGAAAACAGTCCCATCACACACACACACACACACACACACACACACACACACACACACACACACATGCAGTAGGCAAAGAGCCAGAAAATTAGCTTAAAAGCAGCTTAAGAATGGGAAGCAGCATGGATCTCTAAAGTTGTCTTGCTGCCATCCAGGAGTGCCTCACATGTAAGTCCTAATAAACTCCTCTACTTGCCAATCTGGATTTGTCTGAGTCATTCTTTGGTCTCTCAGCTCCCTCCTAGTTTGGGAGGAATGTTTTTTAATACAATTCCTGGTTTTTCTCATTATACCCATACAGGCAGCCCACAATATGGCAGCTTGCTTCTTCAAAACCAGGAAATTAGTCCATAGAATACTGCCAGGATGATAGAACCTTCTATAACATAACATAATCGTGGAGGTGGCATCCCATCATCTTTGCTCTATTGTATTGATTAGAAGCAAGTCAACAATTTCACCCACAGTTAGGGGAGGTATTGTACAAAGGTATGAACACCAGGAGACACAGACCTCAAAAGCCATATTAAAATCTGTCTGCCACAGGTGGTGGGGTAGGAAATGAGTGGGGAATCTTTGGGAATCTTTAGGCTTCCCCTAGAGATTAGAGTATGCCACTCGTGTAAATTCCAAAAACATGGCCAAGAATGTTCCAGTTATTACCAGAGACATGATATTATAGCTTCCTGTGTCGGTAAAATTAATCTATTTAGACATTAAGATCATGGCACTAGTTTTATTTTAATCCCATTATATTTCCCCTGCCCTGAGGCTGCTATTCCTCACTAAGAAAACCATTTTAAAAGTACTGGTCATGATAATAATGAAAACCATCTTTGCTTCTTTATTTTTATCTTGGTTTTTAGCAGGATTTTAAAAATATGTACTGATCCTAAATTTATTCACATCCTAAGGCCTATTTTATCTGCTGCTTGTAAACTATCAGCATTTCCACATTAGTCACAGACGATGTGTGTCACCAGCATAGCTAATAAATACAACCTATGCAAAGCAGCTTCTACCAAAATAAGAGAGAATACCAGCTTCCTGGTTTCCACAATTAGTGTATATTATGTGTTTATAAGCCAAGCAGCTCAAAAAGGCATTGCCAGAGAATATACTGAATGAAAATGTTTGCTTACTAAAAAGATATTTCTAAATGTTAATCATGACCAATTTGCTTTTTCGTAAGACTAAAATAATGCTGCAAAAGATTTTCAAATACAAGTTGACAAAAATAAATCTGGCTGTTTGTAGCAGTTTATGGTATAAGAATTATGAGGAATGTTTTTATTTAAGGAGTAAAGGAGTAAAATCCATTTCAAAGGGAAATGCAAACATTTTACAGAGCATAGACTGTGTGGTATCACAATACTAATCAAGTGCCTGTCAGATGGGATGTATAATGTTTCTCTCCCACTATAACAATCAAAGTACCCTTATCTTTCACCACAGTTTTATAATGAAACAATACTGTGTTTACACACAGCTGCTAAATGTCATTGCCAACACCAATGACAATATGACCTCAAAGACTGTGTGTTGTTCTTGTCCTCAAAGGTGCCAGAAGGCAACATGATAATCCAGATGAAACCTAAGAAAAGGAATTACAAAAGGCTTATATGCAGGTCAGAAGATATTCAAACTGACTTATAACTAAAGATATGCCAACTCAAACAGTGGGATATACCTTTTATCCAATATAGTGTCACAGATCAAAAGTTTTGAAAGTACTGTATTGGCCATGGTACGGAGAAATGAATACTTTCAAATTATGATAATCAGAGTAGAAATTGGGGCAGTCTCCTTGGCAGGCAACCTGGTAATATCCATCAAAAAATTAAAATACAGGAAAGGGGAGTTGGTGCACAATGAGTACAAAGTCCTATTATGCAAGATAAAGAGGTTCTATAGATCTGCTATACATCATAGTGCCTATAGTTAATAACATGCTACTGTACACTTTAAAATATGTTAAGAGGAGATCTCATGTTAAGTATTCTTGCCACACATACACACACAAAACACAAAAAAAACACAAGAAAATTTTTGGAGATGAAAACAAAAACTAAAATATGTTTAGTATCTTGATTGTGATGATGGGGTCACAGATGTATGCATATATCCAGATACATCAAAATATATACATTAAACATGAAAATTTTTCACATATCAATTATACCTCAATAAAACAAAAATTCAAATACACGTAAACACAGACTTAGCAGTTTTGCCAAGATGTATACTCAACCATAATCATAAAGACATTTTCTCAAGGAACCTCCCAAAAAAACATATAGTAAAAATAAAATGAAAAAGCAAAACACAGATGTGTGTACATGAGATGTTCTCACTCGTTTAAAAAATGGAATATATATGTTTATGTATACATTTTTTTCTAGAAGAATAAACAAGACCCTATTGGTAGTGGTTATCTCTGGAAAAGGGAGATGGACTATGGAGTAGAAATGTATTTTACTTTTTATTTTCTAGCCTCCAGTACTATTAGAAATTTTTACCATTCCAATTTTTCAATAAAAATAAAATAAATAAGAAATAAAACTGACTTATCTGGATGAATCAGATACAGTGAAAGTCATATTCTAATTAAAATTATGGAATTATATTTTGGCTTCTCAGCCTGATCACATTTTTTTTTTTTTTTTTTGAGACGGAGCCTGGCTCGGTCGCCCAGGCTGGAGTGCAGTGGCGCGATCTCGGCTCACTGCAAGTTCTGCCTCCCGGGTTCACGCCATTCTCCTGCCTCAGCCTCCCGAGTAGCTGGGACTACAGGCGCCCGCCACCACGCCCGGCCAATTTTTGTATTTTTAGTAGAGATGGGGTTTCACCGTGTTAGCCAGGATGGTCTCGATCTCCTGACCTCGTGATCCGCCCGCCTTGGCCTCCCAAAGTGCTGGGATTACAGGCTTGAGCCTCCGCGTCCGGCCAGCCTGACCACATTTTAATTGTCCTTAAGAGGCAAAGTGACTGATAGGACAGTTCCCACTCAGAATGCTAATTTGTTTCCTCTGGCTTTTTAAGGGTATCTATGCTTTGGAGACTTATTCCAGGTTATTGTGACCTCAAGGAAATCAGCTTGTTAATCTCGGGGTCATTTGAAGGTGAAAGGTTTGAAGTTCTGAGGGTTGAGAGCTTAGTTGGGACCCCAGGCCTAGATTCACCAGTGCAGATGTTAAAAAGCCATTTGTTGAGGAAGAAGTCAAGAAGCCTCTCAAAATATGATTAGACAAATTGCTTTTGGAAAGTTTCTTTATGCCCAAAGTATAACGCAGTCCTGAAACTGGATTCCCAAGGTTTAAAGACCGAAACCAAGAATGGGCACACACACCAAAAAAAACCCTGAATTCTCAAACCCACCTCAGTTTGGGCTCCTCACTTACTCTAAAATCAGATCCAGACTACCCCCTGGTGGTTGCCTAGAAGAGACATTCCTTTCTGTCTCACCATGCACTTGGCTTCAAACAAGTGGGACCTTATTTTATTATGAAGACAAACTTCCCAGAAATGGAAAATATAATCCAAATTGCTATCAGGCCATGAAAAAATATCTAGCATGGCAGTATGAGTGGAGGCTGAAATGGAGAAGAGAATGACTGGTAAGACATTTTATGTTTTAGATTAAATGTTTTTAAATGTTTCTCTGCTTTGCAAATGCCTCTTCTTCTGGCCTCACTGTCCTTTCAAAGGCCACAACTTTCAATCGACTTGAGAGAGGCCCCAGCCTCTCTCAGCTGTAATTGATTCATTGGCTCTAATTTGTGTTTCTGTGGGTTGATGTCACCTCAGCATACTCTAAGTCACTAAAGACACATGACATTACCTCATTTTCTGAATTACCTAACATCCCTAGGTAGAATTTGAATCTCATGGTCAGAACTGATCAACTTATATTCATCTCACTACATTTGACATTTTCTGAATTTAGTGTTAGTATAAGCTATGGGGTCTGAACATTGTTCCTGGAACAATGGCATCGTCATATAAATACAAAAACATCTATGGGTATCTAGGTAGCATATGTTACTAGAAAAATGAAGAGCTGCTGATTCTTCCAAGTGTTCAGCTATTTTCTCTGTTTCATTTAGTTGTAGTGGAAGTGTGACTCTTCCCAGGGGGGCTGACTTCTTGAAATTGCCTTTCCTTATCTGAGGCTGGGATTCGAAATGTTTTTCCAATCATCAAAAGCCCTACAGAGTTTCGGGGAGGAGAAAAAGGGGTGTCCCATATTTTCAGGGTTTGAATAGGATCCTTAGAACTCTCCCTTTATGCTAGTGCTTCCTGTTCCTCATTTTAAAAGCAAAGGATTAAAATGTCGTTATGATTTTTTAAAATAAAAGACCAAAAGGTAACATTCCAAAAAATGGATGAAAAATGTGAAAATTAACTGCTAAAATTAAAACTACATATGGTCAAACAAGTAAAAAAATAACCCTGTACCAAGAAATGGCTCTTTGAACATGTTCAAATGGCTAAAAAGTGACTGATACCTGTCAGCATTGTGGATGTAGAATACCTCAATTGACAGAAGCTGGAGTCTCTCTGGCAGCTCCTGAGTTAGGAAATTCTCCAGTCATCCTCCTTATCTCATGTCAAAGATTCATGCCTACAGCCAGTGGGGTGCATTCACGCCTTCAGATAGCAAAAACCAACTACAAACCACTCATCAATTGCCAACAATCAATCTTAGCAATTTGTCTAACCAATCAGCAACTTTGTGGAGACCATGAACCCTTCTCTTTCTGCCTTCCCGCCATTCTTTCCATATGCTTAGATAATCAAGTATCATAAACTGACCCTTGTTAGGTGTTGAAACAAGTGCAAAAGATTGATGGTTGCCAAGTAACAGAGGCATTATACATGGCAAGGCAAAAGTGGAAACTGACAGGTCTTATTATGGCTTACAAGACTCTACAAAACCTGAGCCCAGTCCTTCTCTAACCTCCTTCCTTCATTTCTCCCCTCTTGCTCTGTTCCAGCCACAGTCACTTTCTTCATGATTTTCTCTCACACCAGACGCATTCCTGCCTCAGGCATCTTCACTTGTTTTTTTCTGCTTGGAATACTCTTTCTAGATATCTTCCTGACACACTCTCTCTTAAGTCTGGCTGAACTCTTACCTTAATATCACCATCCCATTTAAGATTTCTTCTCCCTCATCCCTCCTGATCCCCTTACTTTGATCTATGTTTTACACATTTTAAATATTATAAAATTTAACTTTTATGTTTATGTATTTCTCCCTATCCCAAACCACACACAATACAAAATCATATCCACAAAGGCAGGTGTTTTTGTCTGTTTCTTTCACTGCTGTATCCTTGGTGTCTAGAAGAGTATCTGACATGCGGTTAATACTCGGTAAAGCCAATGTTGTTAAGTGAATAAGGAATGAAGACACTGACACTGTAAGACAAATCAGTTCTTTCACTGTGCAACATAAGGATAAGCCCAGGTCAAGGAGGCACAGCCTTTGGTCCAGAGCTATCAAGCAGTTCATAAGCGGTGTATTGCATAGCAGAAGTGAACCAAGTCAAAGAGTTAATGTAGCAGAACTTGCTAAGTCTTTAACAGTAATTGTTGGAATAAGTCTAGAACAATGTGGTTCAAATGGCAGCTTGAAAGATTTTACTGCCTTTTAATCTAGTATATTTTAAATCTATCTGCTAGCCTAGCCAACCCTACCTTGCATAGACATCGTCACTGGCTTAAAGAGCCTGCAGTCATTCTCTGACAGTAATCTCTCATTTTCCATTTCTCCTTAAAGTGATGCTTTCTCAGAAAGGATGGAAGACCCTGGAGGTGAATCTAAATAACCTAATAACTTGAAATTTGGCTCCTATCATTCCCATCAGAACTATGAGTTTCCAAGGATACCACTATGATATTAGCAAGGGGATCTATATTACTTATAATCAATTGATTGAGTGGGGGGAGATTCTGAACCACTTTCTTCTAATCTCTCTGAATTATCCCATGACTTATCTGGATGTCTACCTTTGAAATGGCTGCTTTCCCACTATGGACACATGCTTCTCTCTTTTATTTCTCATGAGTTACAGAGTACACTTGTGTAGTCATCTTTTTCTCTACATCACTGATAAGTTCATGACCTACATTCAATCAGCAGTCAAAAAGAAAGTTGCATGAATGCTAAATCTTCTTGGCAACTGATCACAAATAGATATCCAGTACACAAAGATGCAAAGCAGAAAGGAAAAAAAAATGTTTGTTGAGCAAATACAGCTTGTTATACTCTTTACAGATATTACCCTATTTCAACATTACAAGGAATTTTCACATGAAATAGAGTATGCCTTTCCCCATCAACTGAATAATAAGCTCCTGGAATATGCGACCCTGCTGATCTTGTTCATCACTGTATCCTTACATCCAACAAGATGCATGGCCCATCAGAGGCACTCAATAAATAGTTTTGAATAAATTATTAAATACAGTCATTGCAGTTCCTCTTATCTGTAAATCTGGCCCAAATCCCAATTCTATATCCAGCCTCATCAGCTGTATTTTACTCATAAAACTGAGCCTCACAAGATGGTTGGAACATTCTTTCTACATCCCAAGATTGCTTCCTTTTTTTCCCAATTGTTACTTTATTACAATATGGTGGAGTTCATTACAAATTTAAACTATAGCTTGATAATCTTTAACCAGACAGTTTTAATAAAGGCAAACTACTTATTTAAAAGTGGTCATAGAACAACTCAAAATGTGGAGTAAGGAGGATGAGAAACATCTGACTGGCCAATAGATTTAGTTCTCTCAGTATAGGAAACTCAAACTTTTCATGTTTAGGCAAGGTAAACCGTAACTTCAGTAGACAGCAATACAGAAAGATTTCATCACATAGACTAGTTTCCATTTAGCAGGTCAAGGGTTTTTAGCTGTCTCAATTGGGATAGATAAATTTACAGGACTGCTCATGCTTGAGCCTTCTTTGATCAACAATGCACTTTTGATCACCAACAACTTTTGATCAGCAATGCACTTGGCAATTTTCTTTTCTAGCTGTGCTCTGCACCATTTGCTTCGCTACCACATGCTTTTCCACCCAGTTTATCATGTGCTCTTGTTCCTTTCAACACATCATAACCTGCACAGAGATATGATAGTACAGGTGATTCTTTACCTCCTTATATACTCGATGCAGCCATTCCTGAAGAGTATTCTCCAAAGTCATAGCAATGTTATTCCTCTTGGCATCAAAAAGGTAATGGCACTTGTGACCCACAGCCTGCTGTGACTTCTCCAAATCAATGGTATCCTGGATTTGTTTGATGGAAGCGTACTTCACCTCTTCTAGTTGGGCAATTTCTTTTTTTGCTCATTCAGTTTATCAGCAAATTCTCCAACAGAGGCACCATATTTTTTAATTACAAAGATAAGTAACTCTACTACTGGTATGGTAGAGAAGATCTCTGGGGTAATTACATATATTTCTTTGGAAAGAGCATACAACGTAAGTCCAGTTCCAAACACATAAGGTCCTGTTATACCAGTTTTAGTATAAAGAAAATGGAAGAATTCCTCAGGGATCAGCCCAAGATGAACTTCTCCTCCATATTCAGGAAGAGGTGGTAGAGGAGCAAGACATGGCTGCCCTGTGTGAAAGCTCCTTGTTGCCTGCAATACCCCTGGACTGGGGAGGGCTGCCTTCTTCAGGGAGAGGGCTTCTGTGGAAGCAGAAGAAAGTGCCCCCGGGACAACATGCTCAGTGAGGGCCCAGGCCAAAGAATCTGTTAGAAGCCCAAGACTACTAAATGCAAAATAGTGATCACCAGAAACTCAGTTAATGTAGAAGAACATCATTCTGTCTCAGCTCAATTTAACTTTATTTTGACATAGAATCTTTAGTAAAACATCCATTTCAAATGCTACCTTGGCCTGTTTGTAGATAGTTCATTGGAGCAGTCTAGGATAAAATTAAAGATCCCATACAATAGAATATTTTCAAAATACATCATGTTCTGAAACCACCAGCTTTCCTTAGAATACCTTTCATGGGTCATGAAAGAAGAAAAGTAGTCCACAGATTCAACTCCCATCATCTCATTAAGTGTAAATTAGACAATAAATTTGCATCTGTTTCTCTGCTTGAATCCTCTCGTAAGATGTTATTGACACAGAGTTAAGAGTCCAGGAATAGACTAATTTGTTTTACAGTGAAGCATGACCATATACAGATGATCATTTTTAAATTGATTTATTATTTTTTGTAATGACAAAATATTTATCCTGGTCATGGGTTAATTCAGAGACTACTTAAAATTAGAAAAATAATTTTAACTTAAATTTCACTATTTAATTTACTATTAAAACTGATATTACTTCATAGCCTTAGAGATTTTTGTGTAAAATAATGAAAAATAATAAAATCTTTAAAGCATTATTTTGTGGCAAACATACTACAGTCTTGTTCTTATAAAATCATACTAATAAAACCTTAAGGGGAGTTGACTTGTACAAAATTAATTCAACCAGAAAGGCACTGGTGAAATGTGACATAAATCTGTTGAACTAGAAAAAATTCTAACTTTTGGACTAATTTTAAAAAGACCTATGGCTTGTTCATAAAGCAAACTGAGCTGTCCAGGAAATAATCACCAATCATGTAAAAAGAACAATTGGTATTTTTCTTATTTTTTTTTCTCAATACTTTCTTAACTATTTTATGAACTTTCTGTTCCAGGGGAACTCTAGAGTCAAGTTACATTAAAGTCCCTCTGGGGTTTTTATTGTAATTATTACATTGAATTTATAGATTCACTCAGGAAAAGATATATTTACCACATGAATCTTCTATACCAGAACCTTGTTATACTTGTGTTTTTCAATATTTTCTCTATCTTCTAGTATAGGTTTATATTCTTTTGAAAATATGTAATTCCTAGTTATTTTAAAGTTTTGGTACTATAGTGAATGAGCCCTTTCCATAAATACACAGAGACATAAGAAACCAAGTAAATTACACTTGAACTCTACTGTTCTTGGATCTGATTGCCAATATGACTCATCAGGTTAATCACAATCCAGGATTGGTCTTCTGAAGATTGCTTTTTAAACTTTATGTTATAAGATGGTGAGTCCCAAGAAAATTTCCAATGACTTTCTGATCAAAAACCTGTGCTGTGTAACGTTTAGCTTGAAAAAAGCAATTAATAAGACAAAAAATGTTGTAAAACAGAAAAACGAGAATAATCTGAGATAACTTCGCAGCCATCCAATTACACAGAGCCCATTGCAATGTACCAGCTCTTTCAGTGCCCAGACTAGAGGATAGAAAGGAAGCTTTATTGCAGCAATAGCTGCCAAAAATGTTATGAGCCACATGCAGAGACAGTGGCTTTGATATTTCAGCTAAACACCTGTGGACTGCTGAGTTTATCATTGCAAATAATAAATTGTAATAATAATCTCAAAAGGATTATTTAAGAGCACAAACATGGCTTTTTATTAAAAATAAGGTTTGGGATTGGGAACAGAATTGTGATTATTGTTAAAAAACAAAACAAAAACTCCTATTTGTTGAGTTTTCATAGAAACAGAATCCCTTGCTAGACATTTCTTCTCCATATGCCTTATGTCTCCACTTTTTTCTCATCTAGCTTTAAAAGTCACATCTTCTACCTATTGAGTTCACTAAGAGGCCCAGTCATTTCCAACTCTTTTGAGATGAAGCAGACACTTCACAGAGCTCTAAGAATAGTTTGTCCTATTTAAGAAACACCAGATGGAACAGTTAATGCCGTGCCTTGTCTCATCTGTACTGTCAGCGTGGCACAACTTTTACTTTCTATCAATACCAGAAAAGTCTTTACCTCCATGCAATGAGAAAGAAAACAAAAAGCTCTTTAAATCCTCATTCTGCAGTAGAGCTGCATCATGCCCTAAACACCTAGTCCAGGGTTTGTTTCTAAAACAGTAATACCATCAGGACTGGGAATTTTTAAATAAATAAATGTTTGAGCAGGGAATTGCACAATGATGCTAGGTTTGCATTGATATTTTAACATTGAGTTATCAGTATAAATCTAAAAGAAAGAAAACATGACATATATCAAATCTACTAGAAGTGTCTGATGGCAATAATCAGTTAGGGGAATAGTGAAAACGATCAAGCACTTTCATCGTCCACCCAGAAACACCAGTTTCTCTTTCTCCTAACTCAGTCCTGAATATGTCTTTATCCAACTTCCCCCAGGAAGATGTAATCAAAGATTACCATTGTCAGAGACATATGTACTGAGGATAGATGTATTTAAAATATATAAATGACTGTATTAGAGAAAAACCTGTAATAGAAAGTGTGTCAAAACAAAGTTCGAACTATGTGTTTCTGATTTGAGGTGATTAAATGACAGAATTGTTAGAAGAAAGTGCTGTGGCCGCATCAACTGAACCTTATGAATATCTATAGAACTCTCCATCCCAAAACAACAAAATATACATTCTTCTCATGGCCACATGGCCCTTACTGTAAAATCAATCATATAATCAGAAGTAAAACACTCCTTGGCAAATGCAAAAGAACTGAGATCACAACAAACAGCCTCTTGGTCCACAGAGCAATCAAATTAGAAATCAATACTAAGGAATTCACTCAAAACCATAAAATTACATGGAAATTGAATAGCCTACTCCTGAATGACTTTTGGGTAAATAATAAAATTAAGGCAGAAATCAAGAAGTTTTTGAAAAGCAATGAGAACAAAGAGACAACATACCAGAATCTCTGGGACATAGCTAATGCAGTGTTAAGGGGGAAATTTATAGCATTAAATGCCCACATCAAAAAGTTAGAAAAATGTCAAATTTTTCAACCTCTTTTAATTATGATGTTTCACCACTAGAAGAACTAGAGAACAAAGAGCAAACAAATCCCAAAGCTAGCAGAAGACAAGAAATAACCAGAATCAGACTTGAACTGAAGGAGATAGCAACACAAAAACCATTCAAAAAATCAAAGAATCTAGGAGTCTGTTATTTGAAAAAATTAATAACATAGATAGACCACTTGCTAGACTAATGAATAAAAGAGAGAAGATTCAAATAAACAGAATTAGAAATGACAAGAGGGATATTACCACTGACCCCACAGAAATACAAATAACCATCAGATAATATTATGAACACTTCTATGTACATAAACTAGAAAATCTGGAAGAAATAGATAAATTCCTGGATACAAACACCCTCCCAAGGAAGAACCAGGAAGAAATTGAATCCCTGAACAGAACAATAACAAGTTCTGAAATTGAGGCAGTAATGAATAGCCTGCCAAGTGGAAAAAGCCCAGGACCAAAAAAGATTCACAGCTGAATTCTACCAGAAGTACAAAGAAGAACTGGTACCATTCCTACTGAAACTATTCCAAAGAATTGAGGAGGGACTCCTCCCTAACACATTCTATGAGGCCAGCATCATCCTGATACAAAAACCTTGCAGACACACAGAAACAGAAAACTTCAGGCCAATATCCTTGATGAACACTGATGCAAAACTCTTCAACAAAATACTCACAAACTGAACCCAGTAATGCATCAAAAAGCTTATCCACCACAGTCAAGTTGGCTTCATCCACAGGATGCAAGGTTGGTTCAACATATGCAAATCAATAAATGTGATTCATCACATAAACAGAACTCAAGACAAAAACCACATGATTTTCTCAATAGATGCAGAAAAGGCTTTCAATAAAATTCAACATCCATTTATGTTAAAAACTCTCAATAAGCTAGGTACTGAAGGAACATACCTCAAAACAATAAGAGCCATATACGACAAACCCACAACCAACATCATACTGAATGGGCAAAAGCTGGAAGCATTCCCCTTTGAAAACTGGCACAAGGATGCCCTCTCTCACCATTCCTATTCAACATAGAATTGGAAGTTCTGGCCAGGGCAATCAGGCAAGAGAGAGAAATAAAGGACATCCAAATGGAAAGACAGGATGCCAAACTGTTTGCAGATAGCGTGATCCTATATCTAGAAAACCCCATTCTCGGCCCAAAGCTTCTTAAACTGATTCAGCAAAGTCTCACGGTACAAAGTCAATGTGCAAAAATCACTAGCATTCATACATACCAACAATAGTGAAGCCAAGAGCCAAATCAGGAACAAACTTCCATTCACAACTGCCACAAAAAGAAAAAAATACCTAGGAATATAGCTAACTAGGGAGGTGTATTCGTACATTTTCTTACTGCTATGAAGAAATACCTGAGACTGAGTAATTTATAAAGAAAAAGAGACTTAATGGACTCACAGTTCCACATCACTGGGGAGGACTTATAATCATGGTGGAAGGCAAAGGAGAGCAAAGGCACGTCTTACGTGGTGGCAGGCAAGACAGCATGTGCAGGGGAACTGCCCTTTATAAAACCATCAGATATCATAAGACTTATTCACTATCACAAGAACAGCATGGGAGAAACCTGCCCACATCAGTCACCTCCCACCAGGTCCATGGGAATTATGGGAGCTACAATTCAAATGAGATTTGGGTGAGGACACAGCCAAACCATATCAGGAGGTAAAAGATCTCTACAGGGAGAACCACAAAATACTGCTTAAAGAAATCAGAGGGAACAGAGACAAATGGGAAAACATTCCATGCTCTTGGATAGGAATAATCAATATCATGAAATGGCCATACTGCTCAAAGCAATTTATAGATTCAATGCCATTCCTATTAAACTAACATTGATATTCTTCACAGAATTGGAAAAGATTATTTTAAGATTCATAAGGAACCAAAAAAAGCCAGAATAACCAAGATAATCCTAAGCAAAAGAACAAAGCTGGAGGCATCATGCTACCCAATTTCAAATTATACTACAGGGCTACAGTAACCAAAACAGCATGGTACAGGTACAAAAACAGACATAAAAGCCAATGGAACAGAATGGAGAAACCAGAAATAAGACCACATACCTACAGGTATCTGATCTTTGACAAACCTGACAAAAAAAAAAAAAAAAGCAATGGGGAAAGGACTTCCTACTCAAAAAATTCTGCTGGGATAATTGGCTAGCCATATGGAGAAGATTGATACTGGACCCCTTCCTTATACCATATATGAAAATTAACTCAAGATGGATTAAAGACTTAAATGTAAAACCCAAAACTATAAAAACTCTGGAAGACAATCTAGGCAATACTATTCAGGACATAGGCACAGGCAAAGATTTCACGAATAGGATGCCAAAAGCAATTGCAACAAAAGTAAAAATTGACAAATGGGATCTAATTAAAGACTTCTGTACAGAAAAATAAGCTATCAATGGAAAAAACAACCTATAAAATGGGAAAATATTTTTGCAAACTATGGCACCCAACAAAGTCTAATATACAGCATCTATAAGGAACTTAAACAAATTTACAGGAACAAAACAAACAACCTCATTAAAAAGCAGGCAAAGGACATGAACACTTTTCAAAAGGAGATATGCATGTGGCCAAAAATCATATGAAAAAAGCTCAACATCACTGATCATTAGAGAAATGCAAATCAAAACCACAATGAGATATCATCTCATACCAGTCTGAATGGCTATTATAAGAAAGTCAACAACAGATGCTAGCAAGGTTATAGAGAAAAATGAACTCTTATACACCGTTGGTAGGAGTGTAAATTAGTTCAACCATTGTGGAAGGCAGTGTGGTGATTCCTCAAAAACCTGAAGATAGAAATGCCATTTGACTCAGCAATCCCATTACTGGGTATATACCTAAAGGAATATAAATCTTTTTATTATAAAGACACATGCACGTGTATGTTCATTGCAGCTCTATTCACAATAGCAAAGACAGGGTATCAACCTAAATGTCCATCAGTGATAGACTGGATAAAGAAAATGTGGTACATATACACCAAGGAATACTATGCAGCCA
Organism: Homo sapiens; assembly: GCF_000001405.40. NCBI lineage: Eukaryota > Metazoa > Chordata > Mammalia > Primates > Hominidae > Homo > Homo sapiens. Next base: position 153,152,750 of record NC_000002.12, on the reverse strand, counting down.
TAAAAAGGAAGGAGATCATATCCTTTGCAGGAACATGGACGGAGCTGGAGGCCATTATCCTTAGCAAACTAACAAAGGAACAGAAAACCTAATACTACATGTCCTCACTTATCAGGGAGAGCTAAATGATGAGAACACATGGACACATAGAGGCACACACTAGGACCTTTTGGAGGGTGGAGGATGGGAAAAGAGAGAGGATCAGGATACTAATGGGTACTAGGTTTATCACCTCAGCAATGAAATAATCTGTACAACAAACACCCATGATACAAGTTTACCTATGTCACAAATCTACACATGTACCCTGAACTTAAAAAGAAAGAAATGAAAAAAAAAGAAAGTGTGTGGAATAAAGATCTTCCTTAATTAAGATTTCCCAAAAGAACCCTGATATTATCAGTTGAGTTCAATATTTTACCTGGCCATATCCAAGTGCACTACCACTACCACGGCCATCTCCCATTTATGATATTTCCCTGGGACAAAGTTGTTTTCCTTCATGAGATTTGCTAAATCAGCATTTTTAATCAAGAGGATAATGGTCCAATTACAGGGATATCAAAAGTCATTTCTAATAAGGAAAATAATGGAGAGCTCCATGTTACAGACTTCAGAATATGTAGCAAAGGGCAAGGTGTCAAATATCAGGGTTTAGTACTAGCTCTCCCCAGAAAGCAGATTTGATCTCCTGAATAGAAATAAGCTAGACCCGCTCCATTCAGACTACCAGAGTTGGCCAACATTTTATAGGTAAATTTTTTATTATTATTATACTTTAAGTTTTAGGGTACATGTGCACAATGTGCAGGTTAGTTACATATGTATACATGTGCCATGTTGGTGTGCTGCACCCAGTAACTCGTCATTTAACATTAGGTGTATCTCCAAATGTTATCCCTCCCACCTCCCCCCACCCCACAACAGGCCCCAGTGTGTGATGTTCCCCTTCCTGTGTCTATGTGTTCTCATTTTTCAATTCCCACCTATGAGTGAGAACATGTGGTGTTTGGTTTTTTGTCCTTGCGATAGTTTGCTGAGAATGATGGTTTCCAGCTTCATCCACATCCCTACAGAGGACATGAACTCATCATTTCTTATGGCTGCATAGTATTTCATGGTGTATATGTGCCACATTTTCTTAATCCAGTCTATCATTGTTGGACATTTGGGTTGATTCCAAGTCTTTGCTATTGTGAATAGTGCTCTAATAAACATACATGTGCATGTGTCTTTATAGCAGCATGATTTATAATCCTTTGGGTATATACCCAGTAATGGGATTGCTGGGTCAAATGGTATGTCTAGTTCTAGATCCCTGAGGAATCGCCACACTGACTTCCACAATGGCTGAACTAGTTTACAGTCCCACCAACAGTGTAAAAGTGTTCCTATTTCTCCACATCCTCTCCAGCACCTGTTGTTTCCTGATTTTCAATGATTGCCATTCTAACTGGTGTAAGATGGTATCTCATTGTGGTTTTGATTTGCATTTCTCTGATGGCCAGTGATGATTAGCATTTTTTCATGTGTCTTTTGGCTGCAAAAAATCCAACTTACAAGGGACATGAAGGACCTCCTCAAGGAGAACTACAAACCACTGCTCAAGGAAATAAAAGGGGATACAAACAAATGGAAGAACATTCCATGCTCTTGGGTAGGAAGAATCAATATCATGAAAATGGCCATACTGCCCAAGGTAATTTAGAGATTCAATGCCATCCCCATCAAGCTACCAATGACTTTCTTCACAGAATTGGAAAAAACTAAAGTTCATATGGAACCAAAAAAGAGCCCGCATTGCCAAGTCAATCCTAAGCCAAAAGAACAAAGCTGGAGGCATCATGCTACCTGACTTCAAACTACACTACAAGGCTACAGTAACTAAAATAGCATGGTACTGATACCAAAACAGAGATATAAACCAATGGAACAGAACAGAGCCCTCAGAAATAATGCCGCATATCTACAACCATCTGATCTTTGACAAACCTGACAAAAACAAGAAATGGGGAAGCAATTCCCTATTTAATAAATGGTGCTGGGAAAACTGGCTAGCCATATGTAGAAAGCTGAAACTGGATCCCTTCCTTACACATTATACAAAAATTAATTCAGGATGGATTAAAGACTTAAACATTAGACCTAAAACCATAAAAACCCTAGAAGAAAACCTAGGCAATGCCATTCAGGACACAGGCATGGGCAAGGACTTCATGTCTAAAACACCAAAGCAATGGCAACAAAAGCCAAAATTGACAAATGGGATCTAATTAAACTAAAGAGCTTCTGCACAGCAAAAGAAACTACCATCAGAGTGAACAGGCAACCTACAGAATGGGAGAAAATTGTTGCAATCTACTCAACTGACAAAGGGCTAATACCCAGAATCTACAATGAACTCCAACAAATTTACAAGAAAAAAAACAAACAACCCCATCAAAAAGTGGGTGAAGGATATGAACAGACACTTCTCAAAAGAGGACATTTATAGGTGCATTTTAATGGAACTAATGTATCATAAATTTCTTCTTCCATTAAGCCTATCCCTGACATCAAAGGTGTTGAATCATATAAGTCAAATAATATAGTACATCAGGACTTTCCTTTCAAGTTATTTGAAGAAAAAGAGAACTAATTCAATACAGTTTGGTTTTTCTTCCATAGACATGCTGATTAGAGTGAAGCCGACAAGAGATCATGGATGACACAGAGACAGAGGAGATATTACTCCATGAATCCTTCATAAATTAGATGAGCAGGCAGGCCCCTGAACCACTGAAAGTTGTCTATAGCCTCAAAGACATTATTTTCAGGCAAAAAAAACCCCTGCCATTCTTAATTTTAAAATAAATGTTCCTCTTATTTTAGATGACACTGCTAGAGAGAATGTTTTCTTCAGGTACAATTTAATTATTTTATTATCTACCAACTCTTTGTGTATGAAAACAAAACATGAGATATACCGTATTAACAGCTAAAATTTAAAGGATATAAGGTAAAGTGCAGGGCATAAAATGTGTTTGTCAGGACACAGTAGGCTATGCTGTGGTAATAAATACACCCTAAAATCTGAGTGACTTAAAAGAGTAAAGGTTTATTTGTAACCCACACTGCAAAAAAATGAGTGTTGAAAGGATCTCCATGGTGACATTCCTAAATTGTGACCCAGAGTTCTTCTATCTTGAAACATTGACATCTTTAAAATGAGCAAAATCTGCAGTCCCAACAGAAGGAGAAGTAAGAACCAGGACAAGGAATGTTAGCTCTTAATTTCTTCAGCCAGGAAATCACACAAGTGACTTCTGCTCCCATTGCATTGTCCAGAACTCATTCTGTTGGTAGTGATAATAAGAAATGCAGTCTTCCTGATGCTCAGAAAAAAAGAAAGCAGACACAAAGCATTGTCTCTGCCACAAGAGGTATGGGCTTTGGAGTCAAATAGATGAGGCGCTGATTTCTGTGGGACCTTGGAAAAGTTGTGTAACGTCTTCTAACCTGAGCCCCTTCATCTGTAAAATGAGAACAAAACACCTTGCTGGGCTGATGTGATGATTAAATCAATTATCTGCCTAGATTATCTGGACCAAATTTAATGTTCAACATACACTAACTTATTATAAATACTATTTAAAGAGTGCAGGGTGGTGGTGTTATTTTTTAACTGGTCCTAAGACTAATGAAGATTTCATGTCCCACATCATTAGATCATAAGACTGTCCTGGCCTTTAAAATCATCCTGTATGAATCAGAGCTTGTGTGTGTTCAAGCTTCCTTCCCCAGATCAAATTCTTCAAACACAAACATCATCTTTAACTTACCACAGTCCTGTCTTCTCTGCTTTCTAATGACTGTTTCAGTAACAAAATTCCTGAGGCTTTTAAATTGATTGTTAACCTCCTAAGTTTTGATGTTTGCTTTTATATTATTTTGTTGATGTCTTTTTCTCTTTGTGTTTTGAAAGAATTGATTGAAAGCCATTAGAAATAACATTCTGTTGATCAAATACTTTTTCCTTTCTAATGATTAACTGCATTTTCAGAAACCAGAACCCCCTGTCTTAACAAGCAATGGAATCTAAGTGATAGCACTTATATTTTTTCCCTTTCTAATTTTGCCTTTCCTTACTAAAGAGCTCAATTTAACAGAAGTAAATGAATACACCTTACACACTAAGCACTGGTGGATCCAGATGCAGAAAAGTCTTGCGTTCTATCTTCCAAATCCCTATTTAAAACAACTAAATAAGAGTCTTAGCAAAAAAAAAAAAAAGAAAAAATGGATGACAGCCATGTTGTTGTTTTTTTCTCATTATGCCTCTACGATTTGATTCACACTACAAAGAACCAGGAACACAATCATTCAGGAAGCAAGAGAGACAGCAGCTGCTGCCTAACTAGGAAACTGATATTATTCCTGGAGTGTATGTCCTCCTGCAAGCTTGGACTAACTCAAGATGGATGCTTTCTCTCAGGTGCTTTGTTACAAATCACTTCTGGTGGTACCAAAGGTATTGCAAAGAAGCATTCAACACCCACAAAGGAGTAATTTAAAGATGAAATATGAAGCATTCGGACTGTTTCTGGATTATGTCTATTGTATTTCTTAATGAATTTTTAAAAGGAAGTAGCGGCTTTTCTTTTATTAGAGTTCCCCCAAATGTGCTTGTGCATATATCAACCTTAGTCAAGACAAAACTGTTGAAATATTATCTTAGAAAATAGGAATCTATCCACTAGATGTAGTTCTTATACGTTTACTCTTGTTTTGCCGTAACTCAGAGACAATTCCGACTCAAGCATGTCTAGGTTCTACAATGGATCTTGGGTCCTCCAGTACTTACAGCATTGAGCTCCCAGCTACTGTTACTGTGATCATCCTTCTCCCTTTTATATCCTCAACTAGGAAGAAAACTCCAAAACATTTTGCAGACCAACTAATGAATGCCCAATGCTCCAGGGTAGCTGAGCCATTATAAGATGACTCAAGGACCCAGTTTTCAACCAAACAAGGGCAATCAAATTGTATCCAAATTTCCCTATAAATCCATTGTCTTTAGTTTCCCAAATTTCTAAAACCACCCCACACTTAAATGTTGCCTTATATAAGGTGACTTTGCTGGATCACTGTAACCATCTCTAGGAGTTGGTTCTAATTACTGTAACCGATTTCAAAACTTCTAGGGAAGTGGCAAAAAAAAAAAAAAAAAGTCTAATGCTTCCTGAACTCCTGAAGAGAATGCGAGGTGACAAATCACCAGAAATTGTCGATACTCCTCCTCACTACTGTTTGCCTCCTTTAGAGCATCCTTATACTCATCCAAACAAGAAGAGAGAAACAAGGTAAAGCAGGAATCCTTAACTTTGCTGTTTTAGTTGCTAAGAAGAAACTTTGAATTTGAATCTTGAACAGATTTTTGTCCCGGCTGCCCCTGACCACTCTGAGCACAAAAGTTTCTAGACAATTCTAGCCACATTCTCACCGCACTTGTCATTTACCTGTACATAGGGCTCCAGCAGGATCAGAGCGTGAACCTAAGAAAATAAGCACAGCAGGAAGAAGCTACCCATATAATGTATCAACTCTTTTTTTTTCTTTTTTGCCCAAATGGGAATGGGGGTCTATTTAGCTGCACGTGCTGGGAAACTCATTTCTCCTCCGCGAAACTCAGTTCCTCACCTATAAAATGAGATACTACTAACCTATTCTTCAGAGTAGCTCAGCCATGAATTAATGGTTTTCTACTATATTCTGCTACCTGGCTTCTGGAATAAAGTGAAAATAGTAAGGAATATAAATAAGAAAGGAGAGTTGATCAAGTTCATTGCAGATATCAGATGGAGACAATTAGATAAAAGTGCACAGGAAAAACCCTGGGAGAGGACCTGTCCGCTGAAGTATAAATCCCATGAGCAAATAGTTATATGACCAGCACATGGCACTATGCTTACTACACAATAAATATTCTATGAATATCTGTGGACTGGCCATCTAGGCTCAAGTATCTTTCTCTAGCTTTAGTAGTGTCTTTTCTACCAGAATCTTTGTGTATTTGAAACATCTAGCTGAAGGAAACCCTGATACAAGCCTCTCTGATTCAAGAAGACTGGCTGACTTGAATCTCAGGGGACAGAAAGAACAGATGCCTGAGTCAAGCATCCTGGTCAGTGAGCACATTTCTGTAATGTACCCTGCAGTCATGAGGAATGTCTGGGAACCTGTGCCTATCATTGAGTGCAATGGCAGCTATAATTACAGTCAGTTAGAGTTTCTTTATTTTGGGAGATAGTGTTTTCCTCCATGACTTTCGGGGCTCTTAGGACAAGGTTTTCTCCAACCCAGAATAAATGGGAAATCTGGCTCATTGGGCTGGGAAGAAATAGTTAGATTAAAGCTGGATGTAAGGAACTTGGCAAATAAACTGAATAGGAATTGACTGAATTATGTCTTCAGAGAACCCAAGAATAATGCTGTGTTGTTCTGGGAAATCACCTACAGGCTTGGGTCCCAGGATCTGATCCTACTCTCCATTTTTAGAAAACTTCATGGGAAGAAGGGTCATTGGAAAAAAAAAAAAAACCCTCCATAAAAGACTGGTGTTTGTTTGCCTTGGAGTAAATTCAGGGAGAGGAAGCATGGTGCAATGGACATAGGTCCTGATGGAGAAAAGAAGGAAGATCTAATATTGGCTCTGCTACTAATTCACTCTGTAAGCTCAGGAAATTCCCTTCATCTCAGAAACCCAGTGAGTTTCCCAAGACATGAAGCTAAATACACCTCACATTCTCCTCTGGGCCATAAAAAATAGTTGGAACATGATGAGTGTGGCTCCTTCCTGCTATGTTTATTATGTTGAGTTCCAGAAATCTGATCCTGGGAATCACCTAGAGAGATAGATTTTAATAGTTCGAGGTCATGCTAGTCCATGGATCCTCATTCACTATTATGTATACAATACTATCCTTCATGGCCACAGATTTCCCCAAACTCAGAGCACATATGCCCATAATGGATTAGGTTTCAGCCTCTGAGCATTTAACTTTTTACACATTCCAAGTTTAGAGTAACTGCACTGGGAGCCATCTGCCACCAAGCATCTGGTTGGACTTGGACCTAATCCATCTCTGCCAGGTGCCTGATAGTCACACACTCTGAAAACCCAATGCCAAAATTATATGTGAATCAAAGACCTGGGGTTCCAAAATGATCCAATTAAGAAGTATTTTTAGAATTTGGCTTAATTTTTCAAGGCTTCAACTTTCAGGATTATTATTATATAATCAGCAACCTTTGAAATGAAATCCAACTAGGTATATTTTTTAAACTAGACCATTTCTGGTAAGTTTGTTAATGTGATTAAAATGTACATGGCTATACATGTTTTCAGAATTAATACAATTTTTAAACTTCTTTTTCGGCATTATAGTATTCATAGATGTTTGGCTAAAATTAGTAGGTAATTGGGAAATTTTGCTTTGTTCTATTTTGTTCTAACGACCAAATATATGAACTATTGCATCCTACCTTTCAAATTGCTATGTAAGAAACTGAAAGTCACCAATCCATACACTTATATATATGCTCAGCACCATAATAGATGACAAATTTTTTCATAGATAGGATTTTAAGTTTTGAGGAATAAAACCATGCCTTTCACTTCTTCATATCTACAGTGTGCTAAATATATAGCAAGTATTTATTGAGTAATTTATAAAGTAAACATTAGTTTTATCATCTAGTGACTATCATTAATTATAAGAATAATGGCTAGTACATATTATGCACTATTTGTCAGACATTATGATAAGCATACTTTATATCATTTTTTGATAATTGTATTAGAAAAATCATGCATATAATTTCTAATATAACCCCTCTTATAAGCAAGTGAAGATCAGAGAGGTTAAGAAAACTTCCCGAGTTTTCTTAACTCGGCAAGAAACTGGTAACTTTGAGTCCCACACTCAGATCTGTCAGACTTCAGAGCCCATTGCCTTAATTACTGCTTTTCCCCAGACATGAACATTTTCCTCTTCTAGTCTTCTATTATCAGTAGGCTTTGTAGGAGAGGATTGTTTCGTATCCAAGAGCAGACCATGAGTTTGTATCTTAAATTGTGTATGATGATTATGCCAGTCACTTCCTGAGAACCAATTATTCTTTCTTCCTCCTATCTTGGCATACCAGACTTACTTCTCTTCTATTATGGATAACTTGAGTGTTCCAGTGCTCAAATACACTTCTGGAGTTCTCTACAGAATCAGAGGAGCCACTTACCTAATGACAAATTAGGACACATTATTTAGAGCCCAAGAAGACTTAAGAAGGTTGCATAGGAGTAAAGTGTTTGCAGAATATTCAAAAAGCATCTTAGAGATTATCAAGTTCAACTTTCTTGTTCTACATATCCAGGCTCCTGAGGTGAAGGGAATTTCCTGAGCTTACACAGCTAATTAGTAGCAGAACCAATACTAGATCTCCATTCTCCTTTCCTTCAGGACCTGCTTCCATTGCACCATATTCCCTTCTCTCTGAATTACTTCAAGGCAAATAAACACCAGTCTTTCATGCAGGGTGATCCAAGGATTTTTCCAATGACCCTTCTTTCCATGGAGCTTTCTAAAAATGGAGAAAAGAATTATTTATAGCCCTTATTTCAAGGTGCTTTTCAAATATCCAATTATCCAATGACCCATGAGAGCTAGAGGTGGCAAAGGACAGTGGACTTGGCTGCGTATTTCGTACGCATTCATGTGATGACCGAAACTCCAGTGCTTAGACAATGAATGCCTAGGGTGAGGATGCTAAGAAATGAAGGCAAACATCTATGCCTGTCATTTAAAGATACGCTGAGGGCAGAAAAAAATACTTGAAAAGCTTTTAAGCCAGTAGAGTTGATAACAAAGTGTTTGATGTCTAAATAATATCAGCAAACTTTGCAAGAGTTGTCTGGGGCAGATTTTCTGTTTCACTCCGTTTTTTAAAGTAATCTTTTGGGCTTTCTAAATGATACAGCACAGGAGAAAACAATTCTAAGTTGTGCAAGAGACTTCAACTAGTAACATTTGTAATATAGTCCACAAGTCTTAAAAATGTTTCCATCTACCAAATTAAACTATTTCCATCTGGCAGACTTTGCTACTTGCTTTGCAAGATGAATGAAGCTGAAAGGACTATGGCTACTTTTCAAGGTTTCAATTCAATGCAGGCAGTATTTTCATGCCCAGGTCTAACTAGGTTTCACTGCTCTGAGACTACAGCACCACAGTTATTATAGCTCAAAGAGAAAGATTAACTGCTCTGGAAGGAAACAGGCAGGATGAAATTACAATCATGGACCCTAGTATCTGGCATCAGGTATTAATGGGCATGAGCCAGAGAGTTCTTGCAAAAGAAAGGATAGAAGGAGGCATAAACAAAAGCACAGAAATTAGGGTGTATATTTTTTCCTTTTTAAAAAAAGTTTCCCAATTTTAGTCATTTTGCAAAAGAGAAATTACCATTAGAGACATGTACATTCGACCTGCCTTATGCTTGACATATCGTTAATGAGTGGAGCGATGATAACAAGAGTCTTGGGCTGGGAGCCTGCACCAGAAGTAGCCTAAAAATGCCAGCTGTCCAGGTACCTTCCTTGTTGGTGTGGTTCTGGGATCACTTGCACACTTTTTCAGGCACCAATGATTTCCTTTATCATTGCTGGGATTACCTCTCCATTCACACCTTTGAAGCTTCTCTTCATTGCCCATTATCTCTTCTCCTTTTCACCAACTGGCAGTATATTCTCCTTGGGAAGTTGAACCCCTGTCTGAGCTACTGCTCCACAGCCTGCAAAACTGCATAATTACAAGGACCCACCATGTTAACATCATTCCTTCCAGTTCTAAGTGGGCCTCTAGAATACCTCCCACCTACCGTTTTCTGCTTTTGATTTCATATCTCCTAACATGAGCTCAACAAGACAAAGCTTTGGGAATTGGCCCTTGTCAGGCTAACTTCACTAATTTTTCATAGGACTTCTTGTCAATCTTCCCATTTCCATACATAACACCACAATAAAGGCAAAGAAAGCTTACAATATCCCTAGGCCTACAAACCTCCATTTCATTTATCGATCTCTCTCTCTCTCTTGCTCTTGCTCTCGGTCTCACTTTCTCTCTCTCACGCTCATTCTCTCATTTTTCTAAAATTGGGACATATTATTCCCAGGTATTGGGCTAAAAGATAATATACGTTATACCACAGTAGAACATCCTAAATCATCAGCCTGTTTTCCTGAACTGAGCCTGACCATTTAAACCTTTTATCATTCCAAGGTAAGCTCTCTGCTCATTAGGACATTACTTGATATGTTTAGAAATTGCTCTTTTTCTCTACCTTCCTCCATGTGTTTATCATCTTCAATTACTTCCAGCAATCCCACTGGGCACTGGGCAAATAAAACTCCCTGCGGCTTTCCCAAACATGCCCCAAGGTGCCAGAATTCCAGCAGTGTTAACATTAAGTAGCCACTTCCCCTCCAGGGGTTTTGCTCTGTATGTGAAGTCACCAAATGCATAATCTCTCACAATGAATTAAGCACCACTACTATGGCAGAATTGATGAACTGGCTGTACAGTGTATTTTGGTCATAAAGACCGATAGTTTAGGTACAAAGAATTCAGCAGTTCGTGAGAAATTACATTTTTCCCATCATAGCAAAAATAACGCTTCATGATGTCTCTCTCAACCCAACCACAGTAGCCTTTATTATTACTATCCATCATCTGGAAGCTTATTCGTTCCTAAATTGTATTGCTTGATATTTTTGGTTCATTAATTTATTGAGGACATGTTACTAAGCATGTACCACAATAAGATACTATTCAAATGTCTGATTCAAACCCTGGCTCTGATGTTTACTACCTTACTCTTAGGTTGTTCTAATGATTAACAGAGAAAATAGGCTTAAAAATTGTAAAGATTAAATGCATAGCTAGATGACTTCTATAATGATGGTATGGGGAGCTCTGAGACCCTCTCCCAGCAAAACAGTCGTAACTAGTGGGAAGAAAAAGAAAACACACCTTCAACCTACCAAACAGCAAGAGACTGTGGCAGCAAAAGTCTCTTCCTCACCACACCCAGCTCTGCATGATGAAGCTCCACTCCAGGTAGGTAGAACCAAGAACACAGGGCTCTGTCTTCTCCCAGCTCCCAGTTGAGAACTGCAGCATCTCCCCACCTCACTATCCACCATCTGTATTGCAGAGGTTTTAATACTAGACAAAAACAGCTGAGAAGTCTGGAGGCCTCTTCCTCTACCCTGCCCCAACTCACGGGGTGGAAGCTCTACCTAAGCTTATAGGCCTTTAATCTTAGGCCTAGCCCACCCTTATCTCTGCTCATTCATAGGGCAGAGGTTCCACACAAGGACAGACAAGTTGAGAAGGCCAGTGGTGGCTGCCCCAGCCCAGCATCCTGCTTGTGGAACCCAGATGTCACTCCAACACAAGTGGCCATATATCCATACTATGGAATATTATTCAGCAATTTAAAAAGAAAATAAAAAACTGCTATCTGCTACAACAGGGATGAATCTAGAAAACATTATGCTCTTCCAGGTGGAAAAAGCCAGTCACAAAAGACCACATATTTCCTGATTTTACATATGAAATGTCAAGAATAAACAAATCTACAGATACAGAAAGATTAATGGTTCTCTTTGACAGGGGATGGACAGAGTGGTAGAATGGACAGCAACTGCTTATGAGTATGGATTTTTGGGGGAGCTGATGAAATTTTCCAAAATCAGATCATGGGGATGATTGCACAACTCTGTAAAAATACTGAAAGGTGTTGAATTAAACACTTTAAATTGGTAAATTATATTTCAGGCCATTTTAAACAATTATGTATATGAAGCATTAATTCATATCCACCTTAGGTATTCAATGAATGCTATTCCCTTTCTGTTTTCTTTCGGTGAATTCAATGAAAATGCAAAAATGAAGAAGTGCATCTTAGTTGGGTATTCAGCTTCCCTTGGTAAGAGAAAAGTTACTTGAGGGCAAAGTTCCTTGTGGTGGTTAACATATGTTTTACATAAAAGGCACTCATTATATTAACATTTGTAAAACTCTGAGTTTTTCAACTTGGAGAGCACTGTAAAACAGGGATTAACAGACATAGATTCTGGGGTCCTACAACCTAGACTCAAGCCATAAGATTAAAGATTCAAATCTCAGAGTTAGTCCTGCTCAATTTGAATCCTGGACTTTAGTTAAATTATTAACCTTTCCCTGTTTCAGTTTCTTCACCTTTTATGAAAATACATTTATATGCATTCATTTGCTCACATTTTCTCTATAAAGACAACCTGTCCTTTGTTGTATACAACCTTTGGAATCCTTCCTTTCTCCAAGGTCATCTCAAGACCTGACTCCTCTGTGAAGTCTCTGCCAATTCCACCTTCCAGGCCAGTTAACTTATCGGGTTCTCGTGGGAATGGGAAATGAAATAACATTGTGAAGGACCTGGAATAGTGCTTGGCATACATTATGTGCTCAAAAAATATTAGCTGTAATGTTAATGACTATTATCATTTCCTTCCGTGATAAATAGTTTTTGGTTGTATTGTTTACTTCAAATCTGGCGTAACAAATCTTAAGGAATGGATGGTAAGATTACCACATCATCAAATGCCAGACCTGATGTCCTCTCTGCTCACTTTTCCACCCTATTGCTTTTAAGGGCTGGTGGGAGAATAAAGAAGTTTGTAAGTGGAGGAAAATAAATAGCTAAGAACCTCTTCTAAACATGATCTGGTCACTCCTATTTATGAGAGCTTCCCAAACTAAAGATGATAGTCATTATAGTTAACTATGGAGCAACATTCTGTATCCTTTATTATATTCAATAATCTCAAATACATTACTCAAGCAATTACTCCCTTCACGCATAAAACAAATCCACACTAAAAGCATGCCAAGACCTCCTGGCATTATACCTGATTATCCCCCCTCTCCCTGGCAGTACAGCATTGATATCCCTCTGTGCCAGACACGTGGCATGACCTGTCCTCCTCCTGAGAAGCCTTGCCATTTCCTACTTTGTCTTTTGCCTAATATGCCTTTGCTTTTGTTGTCCTCTGAGCTTGAACTGTCCTTCTTACCCATCTCCATCTGTTCATATCTTAGTTATCCCTCAAGGGTGTGCTCAGATGCCATCTCTTCTAAGATGCCCCAGCCAATCTTTTCCCTCTCCCTCGCCCCATCGTAGGCAATCTCTTCTTTTTCTGCCTTTCCAGAGCTCTGTGCACTTCCATTATAAATCTTATCATGCTCTACTTTGTATCCCTCTGGACACAACTTAAAGTCAGGGACCTCATCTTCTGAAACTTAACATTCAAAAAAGGACATTTGAGCACTATGTCTTGCATAAATCAGGAGCTCAAAGACTCCTAAAATGGATTTAAAAGCCAATCATGAAGATATTCTTAGGTAGCATGTCTGTGAGAGGCAAGTTCTGGTTTATATTCTAGGGGCTAACAGAATGTGCTGTGTGAAACGGCTCTAGAATAATCTTGAGTACCACCATTTTATTTCAGAAAGTACCCAAAATAGTACCTTACCCTTCAGAAATCTCATGTTGACTGCTATCAAAACATATGAAATAACATGAAATGATGTCACATGCCTTCTGTTGAATTTAAATTTGTGACTTAAAGAAAAAAGTCTTGGAATAAAGCATTTATGAATTCTAAATGCATCAGTGAAAGGGGACAGGCAGAAAATTTCCATATCCTCAAATATTTCCAGGAAAAGTGGTAAATTGGATATGCAAAGAGAAGATTGAGGGATCTTTGAGCACATACTCAACCCACCTGCACCACTATTCATATTAAAGAGCCTCAGGCTATTGTGGCAAAATCATGTAACTGTTAATCAAGGTTTTAGCAGAACCACTTGCCAGTAGTCAAGAGATTGCGAAAGCTGTGTGAATGTGTGCTTGGGGTGAGAAGTGTCAGGGTGCAAGGGAGAAGAAGATATTTCAAGTAAAAATGAGTACTTAATTCAAAATACAACATAGATAACATTTAAAATCTAGATGATGCTAACTATTTTTATATGGCTACCCAAATCCACAGTCAAAATAGTTGACTTGATTAGATGCTTTTGGTGTTTTCTTCTATCAAATCTCTCTTTTACCCTCTTTCAAAGGAGCCAGCTCATTCTAAATAAAAACATCGATGATATTGTTTAAGAGAATAAAAGTAAAAACCAGGGATCTGAAAGACAATGGAAAACTTGGTCTTGCATATCATCTGACAATATTACTGTCCTGCCTTTTATAGGGTCGTTTCCCCCACAATTCTGCAAGCCCTGAATATCCTGTTTAAGTATTTGCCTCAGGTTATGTCTCTGCAAACTCGGAGGTATAAAGTGAAGTTTTAAATCAGTGAAAGAGCTAAAAATGGAATTCTCATGTTGATTCCAGATACTACAGATTAGAATAGACATACTCTTCACAGTCAGCATAAGGCTAGTGGTTAACAGCATGGACTCCAGAATCAGAATCTGAAAGTTTGAATTCCAGCTCCTCCCCTCTATAGCTGTGGGACCTTCTGCAATTTCTCCCTCAGTTTCCTCATCTGTAAATAGGGATGATAAAAGTACCTCCTTAGAGAGTTTTTATGAAGATTAAATAAGCAAATATTTGAAAAAGCTGAAAACAGAGTCTGGCACATACTAAGCACTGTGTGAGGGTCTCTTAAATTAACATGGTAGGAAGCACCACAGAGAATAAGGAGTACATGAAGTACGCATTGGAATCAAGGAGGTTTGGTTGAAGAGGCAGTTTCCCAAAAGATGAATGATTAGGGCAACCACCATCCCAGTTTGCCCAGAACTGAGAGGTTCCCAGGACATGGGACTTTCAGTGTTACAACCTACAGAGTCCAGGGCTTTTAGTGCAAACCCAGATGGTTGGTTACCCTAGAAAAAGACAAGTAGGTTACAGTAATAGAAACTCTTTTTTTTTTTTTTTTGAGGCTCCATCATATACTAGTCAGTACATAACATGTATTATCTCATTTAATCATCTCAACAATACTTATCGAATAAAGTAATTTTCACTGTTTGGAAAATGAGTTTCAGGACTAGAAAAATAATTTATCCAGGTACAATAGGCTTTAGGAGGTATGATCAGAGATGGATCCCAAACCCAATTGAATTCCAAGTCTATAGTTTTGAATGTTTTGTTTTGACAAGTAATTATAACATAGTTCCTCTAGAAAGGAGTGGTTTCGTGTACCAGGTTCAGGTTCAGGTTCACTTGAGGACAGACCTGGAGTAATGAATTAATCAAGATAGATCCTTAAGCTCAAAGGTCCGACCACATTGCCATTAGCTTTCCAGATATACTTGCCTTCCTGGGGCGCTTTCATAAAGCTATCTGTCAAACCCATAGCTGGGCATATAAGAAATATCAAGTTGCTTTTTTGAAACTTAAGATCAAAGTGAGTTATTCTATTGCTCCCTACTTTCTCTTTGTTCTTTACCAATAATTCCTTTTCAAAAACGTGGCCCAATTTTTAGCCTAAAATTTTGAACTTTATTTACCTTTTTCATCTTTTTCTTCCATCCCTGCAATTATTTTGCTTGTATGACTGGGAATAAAATAAACACATCCAGATCCATTTTAGATTCTTTTCTTGGAAATTTCCTTGCCCAGTAGTTTTTTTAGGACTTTTCCTTCTCCTAACACATTAGCAGTGAGATAATTATTCACCTCGGGAGAGGGCCTTACCTGACAGCAACATCCTCAGGACAGGCAGATGGAGCTGTGTTTGGGGAGCCCACTGCTCATTCCTCACTGTTCTAGAACACAGATGTAAGTGTGTGTGTGTGTGTGTGTGTGTGGTGCAAACACCATAGTGTAAATAAGGGGTAAAACAATAACAACAATAAAATAACCCACACATCCTCCCTATTTTGGAGACCTGTACTTAATGGATTTGAAACAGCCAAAAATACATGTAGTAACGTCTCTGTCTTTCCATGCAAAAGAGGACAAAAAATGGTCAAGGGTAGTTTTAGTTATGAAAATGTTAAATAACTCTGATGTTAATTAAAAATTTTCCTGCCACTGTCAGAAACCTACTTTTTGAAGTACAGGTTTTATTTCTTTTAGCTGAGTGGCTGAAAAATATTTCTCTACTTTGCCTTGCTGGTGAGTGTACTGGTTATGTTTTGTACTAACTGTGCATTCCTCCTTCTAGGAATAGCTGCAGTCCACATCCGCAATCATATTTCTACTCCTCTCCTGCCTCCCAGTCATAGCTGACCAAATCTGGAGTATGATCAGACACAAGGCAGTATCTTCATTGGCCAAGCAGATTATCTCAGGATTTTAAAACGAGACATGCAGAGGATACTCTGTTGGTATTTTCATCTTTGAAAATAAGCCCTTTTGCACCTCCAAGTCCCCAAATTCAAAATGAGGCTTATGATTCCTGCCTGTGTGAAATGATGTTTGTAAAAGAGTAAAGGGGTGTTATCTCTAAAGCAAGGTAATTGTATGAATGCAATGGGCTTTTTGTTGTTGGCACATAGTCAGCACTCAAATATCTCCTGAAAAAGTAAATGTTAAATAAGTTGTTCTGCAACTGCTCCCTATCAGGCAATTATCTCTTTGTAAATTCAGCTTTCAATAAGAGAGAAGTTTCTAGGGAAGCACATCTGAAAATGTCTCTCCCCCTGTATAGAACTCATTGACCAACCATTCCTGCATCATACTGATAAATATTCCCCTGAATTAAACAAGCCATCTGGAGTTTCGTACTTCATGTTATTTTTTTGTGAGGGTTATTTTATTACCATCACAGAATCATATATAAAAATTAATTCTTTTTTATTATTACATATAGTCAGAGTAGAACATCACCTATGCATACTTTTAAAGTTTCCCTTGGTCTCCTTACCCCAAATATACCCTAATAAGTGCCCCCTAATCCCTAAGCTACTCATGACCTTGGGTTATAATATTTGAACCTATTAAAATCCAAAAGTATAATGAAGTCCTAAAAGTAATTCCTTAGGTGAAAAAATCACACACACATAAAATTACCTTTGAAAGTTCCTTAAATTACCCATGAAGAAAAACACCCACAAATGCCATTTCTCAACAAATCAGGATTTTTTCTTCCCTAGCATTATTGGAACAGAGAATTATTTCTTATCTGATCATCAGATAAAGTAGTTAGCCATACTGTAGAAAATTTACATGGGTTTACATTTTATCAAACTCAGCTCAACAAAACACTTACACAATGAAAGCAGAAACTAAGACAGACCAAGGAAAAGCAGACTTCCATCTGCCATCTTGGTTATTCCTGGTCATTCGCAGATGGAGTGAATAAGTGCTATGGACTGAATTGTGCCACCCCGACACCCAGATTCATGTTGAAGCTCTGTTTTTGGAGACAGGTTCTTAGGAGGAAATTACAGTTAAATGAGGTCATAAGGGTAGAGCCCTAATACAATAAGATTGGTAGCCTTATATGAAAGAAGAAGAGATACAGCTCTATCTTTCTGCCATGTGAGGAGACAGTGAGAAGGTAGCTGTCTGCAAGCTACCAAGGGAGCCCTCACCAGAACCCAACCATGGTGCCAACCTGATCTCAGACCTTCAGTCTCCAGAACAGCAGGAGAATGAATTTCTGTTGCTTAAGCCACACAGTCTATGGTATTTTGTTACAGCCTGGGTTGACTAATGCAATGGAAAACCTGTGACTCTCTCACTATTTAATTCCTCTTCTTTCTGTCATCTTTCTCAGCCCCCAAACCCTGTGCTCATGCTTGATTTATTTAAGTTAAATGTGCATATGATGCAACACTTCTGTAACACATTAAATAATAACTGGTCATTGCTACCTTAAACGGAGGAGCTGATCACATTTGTTAGCCAAATATCAAGCAAAGCCTGGGAGGAGAGCAAGTTAGAAAAAAGAGAAAGGAGTCAAGAAGAGTCTGGCACAAAGCTTCCCTGGAGGGAATATTGAAGCATAGGCCTAGGTGTGGGTTTGGGCTTGGGCGTCTAAGGGGCAGCAGAAAGATTGGGCACTAAGTTCTAGAAGTTTGAGAAGGAGATTGGCAAAGGAGATAAAGAAAATAAAAGTTTGTTGATAGCAAAGACAACTTTCTCAGTTTTGCCCAAGGCTATTTTTGCTCATAAATACAATAACTGAGAATTGTGTAGCGTGTTATTAATCTTACAGCAGACGGATAAACAGCCCCACTTACCAGCTCTTCATATGCCCTTTCTCTATTAACCCTTTCAGAGGATGCAAGGAGAAAATTCACTTCCGGAAATGACAAAGGGTAAGATTGGCTGTTCTTATTCATACCTATATAAAATTTTAAGTACACTTACACACAAAAGTAGAGGACTCATTTCCAAAGCGAAATGGTTTTTGTGATCTTCAGGCAGGGGAAAAAAAGGAGCCACTTCATTTATGCTTTAACAAAATGGGAAATTTTAAGTAAGAGACATTGGATGCTGAGGATTTGAGATAACTTTTAACTGACTTTAATGGATTCTTTTCTTGAGAGTCTGTCCTTTATGGTCTTTTCGAATTTTCAATTTCCTTCATCTTAACTGTCAAAACGGAAGGGGTGCTCTGCCCATTACAGTAATTAGACTAAATGAAGAGAGAGCTGTGAAAAGAATTCAGAAGCCACAGGCCATCAGTATTAATGCTGTTTGTGCTTCAAATATGAACAATAGGTAGTGATATGCATTCCAAATGACTGAAACACCCAGACATTCTGTCAATAGCATTCTTTGACACCTATTGTGTGCAGAGCGCCATGTCTGGCTGCTGTCTGAAGAAAGAAAAGAAACACAAAACAGCTCTTATCTTCCAGTTACAAGGCTGCAGGTCTCAATACACCAAGATTCTTTGGGAAGACGGAAGCCATGTCATCGAGAAGAGGCCATTTTGTCAGACTTGATGACATTTATTAGGGACTGAAATTGTGTCTCTGTTATAGACAAATGGAAAGTTGTGTTGCCCTAAATTATAGAGAACAATTAACTTCAGAACAATGCAACTCTCACTTTTCATTAGATAGTCTCAATTTTGTCTATTACATGGTAGAGCTGTTATAGGACTTTCTCCTCAGTTCAGCTAAAAACCGGGTTCTTGTCACACAACCAGGAAAGATTAGGCTTGGAGACACATAAATGGGTGAGAAAAATTGAATTTATTGGATGAAAAAGAAAAAAAACAGCAAAGCAAGAAGGATTCCTGTTAACAGGTCCCCTTCTCACTGATTGAATTCCAGATACCACTCAGGAACAGGAGAGGTCAGGCTCCTACCCCCTGCAAAGGGTGTGAACTTCCTGAAGCCCACCCCATCCTCCCAGTGCATAGGCCCCTTGGAGGTTCTCTGGGGATCCCTTTTTACTTGGCTGTCTCATAGCACTGTCAAGAAAAAACATGTTCCATTAAAAACAGCTCGTTAGTCCCTTTACAACTGGTAATCTCCACGGTCAAATCAGCATGAAGTATTCGTTGTGTGACTGAGATTTCAGAAAGGGAGCTTTGAGTCTGGTACTGATGGAACTGTCTTACAGCAGGAAGTGGATTTACTCCAATCCTTCAGTGATTCCAAACAAAGACTTCCTTAACACGCTCTCGTTTCAAAAACCAAAAAAAAAAAAAAAAAAAATTAACACAGTTTAGGCCTGGCACAGTGGCCCATGCCCGTAATCCCAGCACTTTGGGAGGCCACGGCAGGTAGATCCCTTGAATCCAGGAGTTCAAGACCAGCCTGGGTAACATGGCGAAATCCTGTCTCTACAAAAAATACCAAAAACATAGCTGAGTATGGTGGTATGTACCTATAGTCCCTGCTACTAGGGAGGCTGAGGTAGGAGAATCACATGAGCCTGGGGAGGTTGAAGCTACAGTAAGCCATGTTCACACCACTGCACTCCAGCCTGGGTGACAGAGTGAGAACTTGTCTTAAAAAAATTAACTCAGTTTAATAATTCCATGCTGATTAAAATATAACATTGTGAGAAATGTCTTCACCAACTAAAAATGTGCTTGGCTTGCTACAGAAATATTTTCAGGCTGACATGAGAATCGATATACTAATCAGAGCAGAATTGTGAAGTAGACATACGTAACAAGCATGACTCACGGGATAGACTCATAAACAACTTCATTTTCTCTCCCACTATCTCTTGAAATTTATTCTGTTGGGCTAGTATTTCCATTGCCTCCAAATGAAAACATGGGTAGTCTCTATTACTTTTTCTGCATACTCTTAGGTAATAAAAAGTCCTAGGGTCACTTTAAATCACAAAACATTTTATATCCATAATAAATCAAAAGTTCAAACTTGAATTAAAGCTTCTCCCTCCCCACAGCTGAGACCTGGAGTAGGAGGGGAACATACAGTCAGAGAAGAGCAACTGGGTTTTTCTCTTGCTCTTTGTGCTTCTATTTCTCCCCCACCAGCTTAAATTGGAAAACCTAGAAAGAAAATAGGAGGTTGCAAAAAGACCATGTTTGACTGATACTCTTCTGAGCTGGTATTGGTCCTCTCCAGGTTTGCCAGATATTTAAAGGCAATTTCTTTTGTGGGTTCTTCTGAAATCACCTATACATGAATTCATCCACATACACAAAGCTGGCAGTCTCAGCTGCTGTGTCCTTGACACAGGAGATGATGAAGTCTCTGTATCATTGACTAAGGCTCCTTCCTCACCTTTCAGCATGTGGCCATCGTCCAGGTTACTCTCTACAGTAAGGTCACTCTTCTAGATGTCTTCTTGAATATAACTTAACTCACTCTCAGAGTGTGGGGCCAACATCTTTCCCATAGAAAATACTCATGAAGTCACTCATCAATTTACTCATACTCCAAATGCTTGTTGAGCTTCCATTAGGTACCAAACATGCTTGAAAACTTACATATACTAAAATACAAATGAGTAATCAGGCTTAAAGTATATCTTTTCCCAGGTGTATTTGCACTTTTAAAAGAATGTTTTTAAAAACATGAATACACCATGTGACCCTAAGCTAACAGATGGATTTATTCAGTACAGCCATTCCCAAGAGCTTACCTAGAAGGTGCAGACCTGGGATATGGGTGGTGCTCCACCCATGGGATATATTCTGGAGGGTGAGGCCAGGAGACTTTGAGTCCTCAATGTGCAGGAACACTAGCCTCATCTTTGGGCACGTGGCCATCCTCCAGTTTACTCTCTTACAGTCAGGTCACTCTTCTAGATGTCTTCTTGAATATAACTTAACTCACTCTCAGAGTGTGGAGCCAACATCTTCCCCATAGAAAATACTCATGAAGTCACCCATCAATTTACTCATAATCCAAATGCTTGTTGAGCTTCCGTTAGGTACCAAACATGCTTGAAAACTGATATATACTAAAATATAAATGAGTAATCAGGCTTAAAATGTATCTTGTCCAAAGGGTACTTTTCCAAGGGGCCTACTTAAACTGTGTAGTTATTTATGATAATTTGGAGGTAGCTGATGAATTGTGGAAAAGGGAGGGACTAAAACCCCCAATCTAGTCCTGGTGTCTTTTTTCACATCATTAATATTTATAATTCTGTGTTACTATTAATATTTAACAATAGAATTATAGAATACCTGTACCATAAGAGACTTTAGAAGTTATCTGGTCAGGATCTCCCAGTACATATCTCTCCTGTGTATGTAAGGTTACAGGCATATGTTTGTGGAAGACTTGTTAGATAAGAAGGTGCTCTGAGCATGTATGCGGAAAATCCATCAATGCTAGCTCCAATTCCTCTCGACAGTAGTTTGGACTGTACAACTATTTATTTTGCAGCCTCAGCTCACCAGGGTGAAGGCTAAATTATCATATCACAGATCTACTCATTTGTGAAGGAAATGCAATCTAATCTAGCTTGGGGAGTTTGATTCAGAAGGAAACATTACAAGAGGCTAATCAAGATTCTTCTGCTCATAATTTTCTAGGGATCTTTGTGTAGGGTATTCGACACTTTAAAGACCAGAAGGAGGCTCACCATGCTCCATGTGAATACTAGAGAGAGCATCAGCCAGCGCAAAGACTGAGGTGGGAGAGTAGCTGGGGTGCCAGGTGGCCTGTGTGTCTGGGGTGTATTGAAGGATGGGAAGATGGATAAAAGGATAAGAAGGGGGAAGGCAAGCAGATTGTGATGGGTGGTGATTCTCAACCCTGGATTCCCATTCAGATCACTTAGAGAGTTTTCAGCAAATAGCAATGAGCTTAACTATAAAACCAAAGAAGTTGATGTTTCTGGGACCAGGCCCCTACATCAATACTTCTTTAAAGCTCACGAGATTGTACCTAATGGGAGCCAGGATGGAGACTCTCTCATAGGTAACTTGACTCTGACTTTGAGTGAAATGGGAAACCACTCAAACAGGGGTTTTGAGGAGAGGAGTGGCTGATCTTGCCTAGGTTTTCAAGGGTCCCTGTGGCTGCTACTGTGTTAAGAATAGAATAGAATGTGAAGGGCAGAATCTGTAACAAGAGATGATGATGCCTTGTCCAGGGCAGGAGCTGTGATGGTGGGAAAAGTTGTTAGATTCTGGGCATACTTGAAGAGAGAGTTAGCAGGATTCGCTGATGCACTTGGTATTAGGTAGGGGAGGAAAACAGATGTTAAGGAGGACTCAAAGGCTGTGGGCCCAAGTACGTGCTTTCCTCAGACAGATCTGGAAAGGCCTGTCATCCTCACAGCCGCCTTTTGATGCCTCTTTCCTCTCTGCACATTTTAAAGAGCAGTGTCTTTTAAACGTCATAAAGACTTATTCTAATCCTAATTGTATGTGTTGCTTTATTCTATAGAGCAAGTCCTAAGAATAGCAGACCTAGAGTTTCTACTTTGAAGGGATATGTTTTTAGTTGCTATTCAAACTTACTGCCAATTGGTTCCTTTTTTTTTTTGAGACAGAGTCTCACTCTGTCACCAGGCTGGAGTGCAGTGGCACGATCTTGGCTCACTGCAACCTCCACCTCCCTAGTTCAAGCAATTCTGCCTCAGCCCCCTGAGTAGCTGGGACTACAGATGCATGCCATCATGCTCAGCTAATTTTTGTATTTTTAGTACAGACAGGGTTTCACTATGTTAGCCAGAATGGTCTCCATCTCTTGACCTCGTGATCTGCTCACCTCGGCCTCCCAAAGTGCTGGGATTACAGGTGTAAGCCACTGCGCCCAGCCTAATTGGTTCTTATTAAACGGTTATTCTCTACCTTACCTCCAATCTGATTGACCTCCTTTTGCCTACTGGTAAGCATTTCAGGCCTGAATCTGTAAAAAGTAATGAATTGTTTCTAGAAATCATCTAGCTTGCCTTGGGTTGGGACTTTTGGTTTTGCCAGAGAAAGCACCTAAGCACCTTGCACAAGGGCTACTAGAAAATTTTGAGTAGAAGGACTTTGATTAGCCTTTTGTAGTCTTTCTTCCTCAAATGAAACCCTCGAGCAAGACCAGATTGCATTTCCTATACATACATATAAGTAGAACTGCTATTTGAAAATTTAGCCTGTACCCCGGTAAGCTGAAGATGCAAGAAATGACTATGCAGGCTAAACAGTGTCCAGAAGGAATCAAAGCCAGTATTCGTGGATTCCCAACATGTGTGCTCAGGGCATACTCTTATCTAAAAAATTCCTATGGACACTATCTGATATGGTTTGGCTCTGTTCCAACCCAAATCTCATCTTGAATTCCCACATGTTGTGGGAGGGACCTGGTGGCAGGCAATTAAATCATGGGGGCAGGTCTTTCCCATGCTGTTCTCATGATAGTGAGTAAATCTCATGAGATCTGATGGTTATTATAAGGGGAAGTTTTCTTGCACAAGCTCTCTCTTTGCTTGCTGCCATCCATGTAAGAGTTCCTCCTTACCTTCCACCATGATTGTGAGGCTTCCACAGCCACGTGGCACTGTAAGTCCAATTAAACCTCTTCCTTTTGTAAATTGCCCAGACTTGGGTATGTCTTTATCAGCAGCATGAAAACAGATTAATATGCGCTCTTTCTGCATGCACACTCACACAGAAAAATATAGATTGAAATTACTGTCTTTTACATATAACTAGAGTGCCATTTTGAATTATACAAAGGATATATTCTTTGTATTGTTTGAAGGCAAAGCCCCTAGCTGATATGGTTTGGCTCTGTGTTCCCACCCAAATCTCATCTTGTAGCTCCCATAATTCCCACGTGTTGTGGGAGGTACCCCATGGGAAATAATTGAATCATGGGGTGGGTCTTTCCCATGCTGTTCTCATGACAGTGAATAAGTCTCACAAGATATGATGGTTTTAAAAAACCAGAGTTTACCTGCACAAGCTCTTTCTTTGCCTGCTGCCATCCATGTAAGACATGACTTGCTCCTCCCTGCTTTCCACCGTGATTGTGAGGCCTCCCCAACCATGTGGAACTGTAAGTCCATTAAACCTCTTTCTTTTGTAAATTTCCCAGTCTTGGCTATGTCTTTATCAGTAGCATGAAAAGGGACTAATACACTACCTGAATAGGAATTCAAAACTCAGTAAGAGACAATATGACAAAGAACAGGTGCTGAAATGCAGCAGTAGAGATCATGATCTTTGAATCCAGGGTCATGGAATCAAATCCTTCTCTACCTTGTACCTTTCTGTTGACTTTGGGCAAGTCATTTTGTGTCTACAAAAAGTTTACTCCCCTCATCTGTAAGTGATAATATGCATACTTAACTCTTATGGCTATTGTAATCACTAGATGAGTATTGAACACAGTATGGCATTTGCACATAGTAAATACTCAGCAAATGTTATTATTCAAGTGGTCAAAGGAACTTTAAGGTGCTCATCAGTTGTTTGATTAGGTGGAAATATCTTAGACTACATTCAAAAATTATCTGTTATACAAAACTACCAAAGCCTAGGGAAAAGTTTGCCATAATATAAAGAGCATAGATCAAGAAGTGGCAAAGTTAAGCACAGCAAGCTCAGAATAAAATAATGATGCAAAAATAGTCCACAAAAGATACCTCAGGGCTGTATTGTGAATCCAGGAGTCAAACATAACTAGAAGATGATAAAAATTGAAAGTAAAAAGATGAATCAAAAAGACTGATAAAACTGGTGTTTGGATATCACTAAGATTACGGTTCCCCAGGTTCCTCGGAAGAGTAACAGGTAATGGTATCAAGATGTCCATGAATGTTTGCATGTGGTGGGAGGGAGAAGTGCGGAGGGGAAGAATGTTGATGAAATGAATTACAACAGAAAAACTGTAGTCATCTTCTTCTGTGACTTCCATTTTATATAGGGATTTGCACTCATCTGAGGTACATGGATATGAGAGGCCACATGACTTGCAAAACATTTGATTTAAAAAAAATCTGATGCCCAAATGCCTCGAATTTCTCAGCTCAGTATGCTGAAGGGTGAAATCAATTACTAAGGTTCAGGAACTCTAGTAAGCCTAATGATGATTTTAGAGTGCAAAATAAACTCATAGGATTATTGATTTATAATGTATTGCATTACCAGCAAAGACAAAAAAAAATGCACTCAATACTCCATTGTCCATGCCAACGCAATCAAACACTAACACAGATAATTCAAAGATTTTTTTGTAGCTTGTATTTTCTTCAAAGATTAGATTGCATATCCTTTTAATTTCTGGTTCATTTCTTGGCCCCTAGGATATTCTGTACCTTCTCTCAGCCGCCTTAGCACTCCTCACATCTGCCCTGAAAGCCTTAGGTCAGCCAGCCAGCCAACGAAAAATTATGGGGCCTATCCTATGGACTGGCTCAGGGCAGTGGCATAGGCACAGCTTTAACTCAGCTGCAAAAGAACTCTGATAAAATATTCAGAGATGTGCCACTCTGAATGAAGATGAGATTAGCCATGAGAATTCTAAATGGAAAAAGTGAATTTCCATTCCTCCTTCTTTAGTATTTCTAAATAAGTCATTTTCAAACTTCAAGAGGTTCTAAATGCTAAATTCCAGAAAACAAGTCTCTAGAGGGCCTGACAAATAAATCCTGGTTTCTTTACAAGATTGGCCGTACTTTTGCAAGGTAAATACAGTTTTCAATGAAACAGTATCCAAAATCTAGAGGCAGTGTGGCATAGTGGAAAGACGTGGGCTTAGAGTCAGAAAATATGTTGAAATCAGGCTGGGCCACACTCTATCACTGTGACCTTAGGCACATTATTTTTTCTTTAAGCCTATTTTTAGGGTTGTTTTGGAGATTTGTGGAGGTAGGTGAAAACATTTTGTTAGAAGTAGAGCATTGTTTATTCGTTCTTTATTATTAAATACAAGAAAATTATTTTAACATCTGTGGATTTTCCTTAATATCATATATATATATATATATATATATATATATATATATATATATATATATATACAAAATCAATACTGTGAGCTTAGCCTAGCATTTGATTACAAAAATAGTACAAATACAATTCTTCATCATAAAAAAATAGATTCCTAACATTTAGTTGAGTTCCAAGTTACTGTCCATGCCTTACTTGGCTATTTTTCCCTCAAGAGAACAAAATTATTAAAGATTTATTGGTGGAATATCAGGAAAATAACAATCAGGAAAATAACAATCAGTTTTATTTAATCCATAAATTTAAAGCATTTATAGGTCTTTTGATGCACTGGAATAAATGAACTAGAATGACCAAAGGCCCAAAATCTGAGTTGCATTCATTCGAACTTCATAATCACCGGACGCTTTTAATTTTTTCTTTTTTCTCCACCAGTCTCTATGTTATCATCACACTTGTTATCCTCAAATGACTATACTCTACATAAACCCATTGTCAACAAGAACAGATTATGTAAATTATCTATGTAAATGTACTTAAACAATTAAAGATATTCTAAGTTCAATAATGCCAGCAAAGAAACACTAATTCTAATTAGACAGCAATCACACATAGGCTTAAAGTCTCTTAGTACACGTTAGCAGAGGGCTTCTTAATGCTTACTGCGTACTTTTATGTATTTCACATAATTACATTAATGCTTATAGATCTGCATATGTTAAATATATAAATATAAAAGCTCCTTTAAATTGATTCAATTTTCTTCCCACAAATTGCCCCTTTTCATAATATGCCTGCATACTTAAAATCACTATATTAATGCAGTCAAGTCAGAAACTAAGAACATTTAGTCCTGCGCACTATTATAGGAACATCAGGGTCCACAGCTGCCTTCCATTAACGCTCTCAGACTGGACTGTCATTTGCAGAATCAGACCCATTGATTGTATAAAAGACATCGCTTTTGTCCTTTAATGACCCATGAGCTCCTTTCAAAATCAGTTCAGTAATGGTTACTACATTAAAACTTCAAACATGCACAACCACAAGATGAGTTTCTAAAGCAACACTTTCATCAGCATCACAGTGTCATGTGGGAGGAAGAATACTGGCCTGGAAACCAGACACCTGGCTGCTAATGCAGATTCTGTTACTAATTGGTTGCCTGACCTTGGGCATAAGGTTGCCATATAAAATACAGGACACCAGTTAAATTCAAATTTCAAATCAATATCAAATTATGTTTTAGGGTAAGTATGTCCCAAATATTACATGGTATATACTTATATTTTTTAATGATTCATTGATTATCTGAAATTCAAATCTAATTGGTAATCCTGTATTTTTATTTGCTAAATCTGGCAATCTTACTTGGGCAAGCTATTAATACAACGATAGCTTCATCATTTGAGAAGTACAGGGGTTGGACAGAATGACCTCTAACTGAGACACCATGAAACTATTGGGTTCATAGATTAAGCAAGGAGCAAAACTTGCCGTATTTGTTTGCCCTAGTTATTAAGCAGAGATTCATGAAAATTACACACATTTAAAACAAAGCAAGCTGGCTGGGCATGGTGGCTCACACCTGTAATCCCAGCACTTTGGGAGGCCGAGGTGGGCAGATCACGAGGTCAAGAGATTGAGACCATCTGGCCAACATGGTGAAACCTGTGTCTACCAAAAATACAAAAACTAGCTGGGCATGGTGGCAGGCACCTGTAGTCCCAGCTACTGAGGAGGCTGAGGCAGGCGAATCGCTTGAACCCAGGAGGTGGAGGTTGCAGTGAGCTGAGATTGCGCCACTGCACTCCAGCCTGGTGACAGAGCAAGACTCTGTCTCCAAACAAACAAACAAACAAACAAAACAAAGCGAGCTAACCTGTTTGCTTCATGATGAAGATGGATATAGTATCTCTGTAAATTTCCAAACTTGGAGAAAAAGCTCAAGCATTTTAATAGCTTTTATATTTGCTATCTATTGCTGCATAATAAATTACCTCAAAACTTAGTGGCTTAAAACAACATTTATTATATCACAGTTTCTGTGAGTTAGAAATCCACACACAGCTCGAGTTCTCTGGCTCAGGATCTCATAAGAATACAGTGAAGATTTTGACTAAGGCTACAGTTATTATTTCAAAGGTCAAATGGACAACTCGATTCTAAACTTAACACATTACACTAAATCCTAACAGGGTTTAGTACCTTGCAGGTTGTTGGACTGAGGGCCTCAGTTTCTGGCTGGCTGCTGGCTACCCTCAGTTCCTTGCTATGTGGACCTCTCTATAAAGCAGCTCACAACACGGCAGCTTGATTTATCAGAGCAAGCAAGAAGGGCCAGAGAGTGAGTGAACAAGATAGAACTCACAGTCTTTTATAACCTCATCTTAGCATTGATATGTCATTATGTTTCCCATATGCTATTTCTCAGAAGCAAGTCCAGTCTCAGATTGTCCAGCCCACAATCTAGGGAAGAGGTTATACAAAATGTGAATATCAGGAGGTGAGAATCATTAAGAACAATTTTAGACACTGCTTACTACACTTTGAACAATCTTTTTCTGGAAAAAATACTGAACAGCTATTCTAAGTGTAATTTATCAATTAATATGAAGGCTCTGTATTTGGCCCTTAAAAATTAATGGCTAACATTAAAGGCATTAGGCTTCGGATGAAATGAAATTTAGTCATTATTATCATTATATCCTATGTAGTTAGCTTGCTTCCAAAGATCTCTGATAGATCTGCTTTTTTGCCATAAGAAGCATGCAGATAGAGATTTGGTTTATTCCTGTCTCAAAAGTTGGAGTCACAACTCAGGTGTGCTGAAATGTAACTTTATTGATTCAAACTTTCCATGTTTATTACTTCTTATTTCATTGATGTTCTAACACCCTTAATCTTGTCCTTTACTTGTTTCTGGGTCTAAACTACTATTTTAGGTTAGTAAACCATCAACTCTGGATTTAAATTTAGTCAAATTTAAGGTCTTGGGTGTGTGTCAGGTTTCTGGTGCTGCCCTACTAGAAGTACCACAAGCCAAGTGGCTCTTTTGGAGGCTAGGAGTTTAAAGTTAAGGTGTCAATAGGTCGGCAATCTCTTGAGGGCTCTAGGGGAAAAATCCTTTCTTGCCTCTTCCTAGCATCTAGTGGTTGCCAGCAATCCTTGGTGTTTCCTAGCTTGCAGATGCATCTCTCCTGTCTCTGCCTCTGTCTTTGTATGGCATTCATCCCTGTGTCTTCTGTATCTTCATATGGCATTCATCCCTGTGTCTTCTGTATCTTCGTATGGCATTGATCCCTGTGTCTTCTGTATCTTCACATGGGATTCTCCCCTGGGTCTTCTGTATCTTCACATGGCATTCTCCTCTGTGTCTCCTTTGTACCTCCAGTTCCCTCATCTTAGAAGAACACCAGTCATTAGACTAGGGCCCACTCTAATCTAGTATAACCTTATTTTAACTCAATTACATCTGCAATGAACCTATTTCCAAATAAGTCACATTCACAGCTATGGGGTTAGGACTTAATATATTTTTGGGGGGAGGGGGTATAATTAAACACACAACAGGGTGCTTGGTAAAGATGCAGATTCCAGCCCCATAAGAACCTTTCATCCCCTGGAAACTGATATTTACAAGTCTTGGAAGGGATAAGGTATCTGCTGGTTGGACCAGCTCTGCAGGCGTGCTCTATGAAAGTGGCGCCCAGACCACAATTTGGCAAGCTCTGCTCAAGCCAACCAGCTATCCTTGTCCACTAACCACAAGCCTCCAGAGCTTTGTCTTCTGCATCCTCTTAATCAGAAAATGTAGGTGAGGGACAAAATGTAGGTGTGGCAAAGTGAATGGAACATTAAGGTTAGCACATCAAAGGATGTAAATCTGAACACTGGCTCCACATTAGCTGTATGACTGTAAATCGACTCTGAACCTCCATTTCTTCAACTGCCTCACTGAGTTTTTCTTAGAATTAACATTTGTAAAAGTATCTAGCCAGGTCAAAATACTACATTTTGGGGGATAAAAAATAGCAACAAAAATTTGTTCATGCCATTTAGTCCAATAATTCTTCTTCATCATTTGTTCATTTAACATAATGTTCATTTAACATAACACCATATAGCAGACATTGCACTTGGTACAAGGGGTGCTACAGTAAACAATAGGTAAAGTTTATACCTCATTCTAGAGGAACTATAATTTAAGAAATCTAAAATTATTTTTAATCAAAACTATTCATGCCAACATTAACTAAATAAGTGAAATAACAAATATCTAGCAATAGAGAAATTATTCATCTACTGAGTGAAACACTATACACACATGACAAGACTGTGTGGTAATCTGAAAAATGCTTATAATGTGAAATAAAAGGTATGGTACAAAACTGTATGCATACCATAATTACAAACATAAAAATAGAAATATATGTATAGAAGAATCAAATAAAACTGACCAAAATAAGATAGTGGTTAAGATAATGTGATACCATTATAAGGGACTTTTTTTACTCCTCTGTTTTCAGTGTCGTAAAAAATGCAGTAGCTCATGCCTGTAATCCCAGCACTTTGGGAGGTTTAGTCAGGTGGATCACCTGAGGTCAGGAGTTCCAGACCATCCTGGCCAACATGGTGAAACCCTGTCTCTACTAAAAATACAAAATACAAAATAGACAGGCATGGTCGTGGGTGCCTGTAGTCCCAGCTACTTGGGAGGCTGAGGCAGACTTGCGTGAACCCAGGCAGCGGAGGTTGCAGTGAGCCAAGATCATGCCATTGTACTCCAGCCTGGGCAACAGAGTGAGACTCCGCCTCAAAAATAAATAAATAAAATAAAATGTGGTTATATTACATTGAGAGATGAAAAACATCTGTACCAGCTCATTAACAGTAGTTAATTGAGGAGAATGGGATTAATAGGGACTTCTACTTTCTGTTTTATATATTCAAGTATTACTGTAAATTTGAAATCAGAAAAAAATAGAGTGTAAGTTAACAGTAATCACTGAACGAAAGCATTTCATTTCTTCATCTATTTTAGATTTCTAAAACTAATTTCCACAGGAGGAATGGACTGCTTTTGAAATTAGAAAAAAATGTGTTTTTAAATTATTTGTAAATTAATTGGTTACAGTGCCTGGCAAACAATCTACAAATGTCAGGGGGATTTGGTGGTCTTCAGCTTTGGAAAGTCTATCTTGCAGCACACAGCTCAAATGAAACTCTTCTAATGCTAGATGCACTGGGCTTGAATCCAAGAATGCCATCATGTTTTTCTCTTCTACCCCAGTATCCTCCTGATGAGGCCCAGTATTTTGGTGGTCTTTCTAACTGGAGCAGCACTTTAACAATAGACACTAAGATTATAACTATAGGATCACACTGAAATGCTCCAAATGCCTCAGATTCATTTTCCTAATCATAACTAATACTTTGGAGCAGATCACGCAATAACTAGAGTTTGAATTATTTTTCCTAGATACATCACGTTTGGCTTCACTCTCGTTAACAGAAAGCTTTCTCTCTGGCCCCTCCAGCTGTGAGCCTGGCAAAAAGAAGGAGGGGTTCTACTCCCAACTTTCTGACCAACAAGGACCCTCTCACTCCTCCTCTGGCTCTAACTCCAAGCTTCTAAAATGTTTACTTACAAAATTGCTTGTACTAAATAACAAATAATTTATCTTTATATTAAAGATAAAAACTAATTTCCAGATAGAGCTTTAGACACACATGAGGCAGTAAAATTCCAACTAAAAGGAAGTATATTTGATCATAGTTATCTTGGACAATTATTTTTATAGATAAATGCTTATTTCCATTAGGAATCCAACAATATTAAAAGTAGCTGCTGCATTCCCATTACTTTGTCCTCAAATGCCTGAGGGTCATAAGTAGAAAAAAACTGGCCTAAAGACAAATCACAGTCAAGATCCTATGGTCCACTCAAGGAGAAACTTAAAAGATCCAAATAATTTTTTCTTTATAGTTGTGACCACTTCAACCCTTGGTAGATAATAGTCAATTCTCATTTCTAAATTTTGCATATTTGAGGGGAAGACTTATTTTCCTTCATACTGAAAAGAATCTACCACGTGAAGAGTTGGGTGGGGTCCTTGTGTGTGTTGAGGTAGTTGTTTTGTCTTTTTGGTTAAAGTAGAATTGAAACAGTAAACTGGAAAGATTACCAGAGGCCCAGAGCAGAACTTTGAGGTGAGTTTACAATCAATGACTATAAAAAGTATTCCCCAAGTTACTATAACTTTCTTCTTAATATATTAACACACTCAAAACTTTGTTTATTCAACATTTTGCAACCAAGGTAATAATTATAAACATCACTGTCTTAGTTGAGTTCTCCCAGAAGGAAATCCTGAGAGAAGCATTCCAAGAAAAATAGCTTATTTATGATAGATAGTGGATATGTAGGGCATATAAAGGCAATATTTTAAAGTATAGGAAAACATGATGTAGGGAAGGGAAGCCAGAAAACGTAGAACACGTGTTAAGATATCTACCACAGTTCACAACTGAAGCTTAAACTCTCAGAGAAACTCTGGAAATTATACAAAACTCACATCTCAGAATAATCTCATTCAAGGAGCAAGACAGCTAGGGTATTCTCTGAAGGGTCAGGCAAGGCTGCTCCCAAAGGGTACTAATGCCTTGGCTCTTCTAACCTGGCATGCGCATAGGCAACATGGCTTGTCACAGTTTCAGAAAACTCAAAGAACCTTACAAACAAGTGCAAAGCCTGTCAGCAGGAGTCAGCTGAAACACATTAAGATGTATAAAATACATATCTGGGGCACTAACAGTGCCATTTTTATCTTATTTTATGTATAACTTATTTAACACTATATATTGCGGTCATGGTGGACAAATTTTGTTTCCTACTCTCCAATATAAGCTAGAAACTACTTTTCAATAAATAAATCTCCAGTGATTTAATTTTATTGTAATGGCCCCTTCTTTCCCCTAAAGGCAAGAATTTTAGAAAAACTGATTAATTTAGGGTTCTAGTATTGGGCTACACTGAGAAGTGGTAAGGTATAGTTGTTAATAAGCCCTGTGTCTAAAGCCAAACTGCATGGGTTTAATAAAGAGCTCAGATGCTTCCTAGCTGTGCACTTATGTATTAGTTCATTCTCATGCTGCTCATAAAGACATACCCAAGACTGGGTCATTTATAAAGGAAAGAGGTTTAATTGACTCACAATTCAGCATGACTGGAGAGACCTCAGGAAACTTACAATCATGGCAGAAGGGGAAGCAAACATGTTCTTCTTCACATGGTGGCAGCAAGCAGAAGTGCAAAGCGAAGAGTAGGGAAAGTCCCTTATAAAACTATAAGACTTCATGAGAACTCATTCACTATCATGAGAACAACATAGAGGTAACCACTCCCATGATTCAATTGCCTCCCACCAGGTTCCTCCCACAACACATGGGGATTATGGGAACTACAGTTCAAGATGAGATTTGGGTGGGGACACAGTCAAACCATACCAACCTCAAAGTTATTTAACCTCTCTGTACTTCAATGTCTTCTCACCTATAATATGAAGATAATAATTTTATCTATTTGATAGCACTATGGTAAAATTTACATGAGTTAATATAAATAACCTAGAATAATGCATGGCTCCTAGAATAATGCATGGCTCATAATGAACTATAAAGGTATTAGCTATTATCAATATTTCTTCATTTTTTAATTCAACAATTATTTATTGAGCCTTTATGCCAGAGGCTCTCCTTGACCCTACAGCTACACAGATCAGTAAGATATGTGGCAGACCTCTAGTATCCACAGCCTAGTAAAAAAAAGGCTAATAATAATAGTGGGTGGACCACTTATAACTAATTAGATAATTGTACCCCAATGTGGGAAGATCCAAAAGAGCACAGAACAGGCAGCAACCACCTGCTTGTATGAAGCCAGTCAAGTTTGCCCTTGCAGTTGGTGTTAGAGGGAAAGTAGGTACTGTGAGACAGAAAGGGGTGATGGTTGCCCTGGGAAGGAAGGACAGCCTGTCTGAGGAAGAGGACTTGTGAACTAGCACAGTGCATTGCAAGAAATTAAGGGCAATTGAAATTTCAGGTGTTGTGTTTGAAGAAGTTTTAGGTTGCAACTAGGGAGAAAATGCCTTTGTGCACCAGGTAAAGACTATTGACTTTTCTTTTGTAAAGAAGGAAGCCAGAGGTAGGTTTATGTGGGGTGTGTGTGTGTGTGTGTGTGTGTGTGTGTGTGTGTGTTGGTACATAGTGACATTATAGATTTGTTTCTTAGAAAGAGAATTCAGTTATCAATGTGAAGGATTGACTGGAATCAAGAAAACCAAAAACCTGCTATGACCACAGTTCAAGGAAAAGATAATAGATAATAAGGCAAACCAAGGCAGAGGCATTAGGGACTAAGAACAATGACAGTTCTAGGAAACTTTTGGAGTTCGTGACAAATTAGGCACGGCAGAGGGACTGCTTAAGAAAGAAAATGATTTCCAGCTCTTCGGACTTAACTGGCCATGACAATAACAAGCATAAGGAATACAGAAGACAACCAAGTTAGTGGAAGGGAGGAGGAAGACCATGATGACTTTAGATAAAAACAGGGTAAGTGAAGTGTGAGGTGTCTACAGGAAATTCAAGCAAAAGTGCCTATTTGAGTATCTTTGGATTTAGGAGACATCAACATGTAAGTATGTGAGTAAATGAACTCACCTAGAAGTTATACTCTATTTTGAATAAAATTAGATGACACCATGCTACCTCAACTGCACCAAAATAAATACAAGATGGGTGTATCCATCAAGTTGAATAACAACTCCCATTCCCACTTTTTCCATGAGTAAGTTTTATATGGAAATAACCACATAACCATATAACCATAACATTTTCTCTTTCATGTTTCTAATAAAGCTTGGTGGCCATTCCACTTTATGAGGATCCACATACCCACTCTATATTTGACAGGAAAAGTCAAATCTGGACTATATAAGCCTTGATAACTACGAAGTTATTCAGAAGTTAATCTGTCAATGACCACTTGACTGCCCATACTGATTTCAGAGAGTGGTTTGTTAAGAAAGTTTGCTTTCTCCTTTCTTACCTTATAAGTACGTATCCCAACATTTTACTGTTAATGAAGACTTTCGTAGATCAAAGAGGCCTGTGTTTCAAGCAAAGATTGTACCTTTAACTGTGCTCCTCTGCTAGAACTTTAAAATAATGAGGCTGGTTTTTCTTAAAAAGAAGACAACACACCCAGCCAGGCATGGTGGCTCACACCTGTAATCCCAGCACTTTGGGAGGCCTAGGCGGGTGGATCACGAGGTCAGGAGATCGAGACCATCCTGGCTAACATGGTGAAACCCCATCTCTACTAAAAATACAAAATATTAGCCGGGCGTGGTGGCGGGCGCCTGTAGTCCCAGCTACTTGGGAGGCTGAGGCAGGAGAATGGTGTGAACCCAGGAGGCAGAGCTTGCAGTGAGCCAAGATCGCGCCCCTGCACTCCAGCCTGGGGGACAGAGTGAGACTCCATCTCAAAAAAAAAAAAAAAAAAAAAAAGAAGACAACACACCTATCTCTGTTTGCATCCTCAATGTTGTGGTCATTTTTATGAGGCTGTACACTTTTTTCCCAATGATACTGCCATCTTTCCAAACATTAGAATTCCTTGAGAATAATCAAAGCCTGGCATTCCTATTTTAATGTACTAAATGACAGCAAATTCTAATCACTTAAAGCTAGATTTGATTTTTTTATGCTCTAAATATCATTTGCAGCCAACTGTGACACATAATGTAAGTGATTAAGGTATATAAGTAAGTTCAAGAGTGAAGCATAATCATAAAATAATTGTGATGGTTTTCTTCTATTTTCCTATTTCTATATGAAAATCCCAAACACGAAGTCTGAACATGACTGGATAATTGGAATAAATGACCAATTTGAAGTAAATATATATTCAGTGTTCTAGTCAGTTCATTAAATATACATTATATGTTCCAGTCCGTTCATTAAAAGAAAAAAATCAGTCTCATTTACTTTGTTATAAAGTCTCCATATTTCACTAGTGTTTCATATTTTTAATAAGAACATTTAACAAAACATGCCAAATAAGTTAATTTTACACAAATTTTAATAGATGCTGAAGCTTTAAATATATATATACACTCACCATTAGTCCTTTGTACAATAATTAAGGATATCAAGAAAACCCAATTTAGATTGGCTTATTACTAATTTAAATCTCCTTGTCCTTTATATATAATGTAACATTCTGGTATTTTTTAGTTTATCCCCTAAAACCACACTTTTAATTTAACCATACATCAATGTTTTAGACAACACAGCTGAAATGTTAATGAATAAGTCTAAAAAAATACCACTGGCCAATTTTTCATTAAAAATAAAATACTCCTTGGAAAAGTGTCACACAAATTGATCATGACTGAATGCTGCTCCCTTAAGGCAGAGCAATGACCTAAGTTTAATTGGTTCACAGAAAAGGAGTCTTATTAGACAAATGTGACAGTAACCTTTAGCTGAATGTCATCTTTAGATTTTTTTACCAACTACTTTATAAATGCATAAGACCAATGTTCAATTATATTAATAATTATATACAAAATAGGCAATTAAATGACTTATTTTATTTTTCAGTACCTACTGTGTGCCAGGACCAATGCTAGGTAGTAAAAACACAGCAGAAAACAGATAGACACAGACACAATCCTTACCCTCAGAGCTCTTAGAACACATCATGAATGACTTCTGATTCTATATATATTTTCCATACTCCCTTGTGCGCTAAAGGAAATACCGACAATGATCAAATGTCACATACATCTTATTTTGATGAGAGCTTTGAGTATGATTACCAAAATCAAGTGAAAACATGAGAAAAAGCTTTACTGGTCTTCACATAATAAAACCATGCACTGGTTTGATGACAACACTTTCTAATGTGTCTTAACACAGTTCTTCTGAATGGCATTGTTTTATTGCACTTGGGATCATAAACATATGTTCTCAATCTTGTATTTCCCCATTACTTTTGCTGACTTACCCAGTGCTTCCTGGATAACTTGGATATGGAAAATTTCCAAGTTCATTTGGAATATGGAGCAGACAAAATGAAAAGAGTGATGACCCAGGAATATCCAAACATATGAGGACCACCACTTCACTTTTTATAGGGTTTGAAAAGCTATTTGGAGAGGCCAAGCCTTTACCTGGACAGTCATGATTATCTTCCTTTATTTTTTAGTACTCATTATGAAGAAAGCATTCTGCTTAGCACCTGCATACATTATTTCATTTAGCTATCACAAGAAGCCCATGAGGTAGGTATTATTGCCCCTATCTTACAAAGAAACTAAGGCTCAGAGAGATGAAGTAATTTGCCCAAAGTCACATGGTTTGTATTTGTCTGAAATTCCATTTAAACTCAGGCCTATCCAACTCTAAAGTCCAATGTTTAACTACTATGCTATACTGTTCTATAATGGAGGGGGATTGGAAAGAGAAAAAAGAAAAACAAGTGTTAGTAGTGATTACTGTTGAAATTCATTGGTAAACTCAGTTTTTGCCACTTTGTTTAAGCTCATTGACAAATCAATGATAGCAATAAAAGAGTAGAAAAAAAGAATTATCTATCTTTGCTACATCTTTCCACCGCCAGGTAGGTTTTGGGTTCCCATTAGCCTGTCATTTCAACTGTTATCTCCTTCCTACACTGAGTTGTCAAAAGCAATCTTAATATCAAAACTTCACTGGTGTCAGCTCTCAGATGTGTTCACATTTTTCTACACACTGAAATCCAAAGCTTATTAACTCTCTTTGAAGTAGACTTCAAATCAATTAAGGATGAGCAGGATAACTTAAATTATTTTAGTCAATAGTTTCTACTCCTAACTCTTCAACCTTTTCATCAGACTGCTGACAACAAATAGAATTGACTGACGTCTTCTCTAGCGAAAGCATATAGCCACAGTGCAAGAGCCAGGGTCAGGGGAGTGAAACCATGGGGTTGGTTGTTCAACATGATAGAAAGAGAGCAGCCTCAGGGAGAGAAAAAGCTAAGAAGTCACAGCTCCAGAGAGGAGCTGACCAACTAAACTTACGTTCAAGCGAGATCATGGGACTATAATCTATTTTGAGCACATCCTGGCATTTATGGTGAGGCAGGTCAAGCATCATCTCCAAGTTTGGATTGGGCAATGTAGCCATCAGGTCCTGTCCATAGCATTAACCCACATCATAGTTTGATGCTGAGGAAAGGAGACAGAACAAGCAGTGTAGCCCTAGGGAAAGCCTAGCTAAAATGGGGTTGGGCAACTAAATGGCTGGTATTGGCAACAAATGAAAACATTGGGAAGAACTTCTTATCATGGGCCCAAACGATGTATAATTAGTAAGCCTTCCCTTTCTATTAAATAAGATGTAATGAAAAGCACACAGGATTAAATCAGAATTACAAGTTTCTAACACCAAAGTGGCCACGAACAAATTTGGGCAAGTCATGTAGCCTATTTATCAGTATTTTTTCCCCAAATAAGAAATGAGGTGTCTAACTCAATGATCTTGTAGATTCTTTCAAATTTTGTAGCCTTCTGCATATGAGGCTAGACATACACAATATATATGACAACAATAAACACATTTCTTAGTATGTAATTACATATCTTTTAGAAGAATAATTACCCAGGGATGGTGCTGTTAGCTGACTGACTTACAAAGACTACAACAATCCATCTTCAAAATGCCATAGGTATTCATGAAGTATTATAAGTACTCTGATTTTCACAGGATTCAGTTCTGCCAGATATTTCATATGTGCTTCCCTAAGCACATATGAAACTCCAGGTTGTGAGAAACCTGGAGTACAAGATTAAGGGATACTCTTATTTAACTGCACTAGAGCTATAAAAGTTTAACAACTCACTAACAGAAAAATAGAGAATCTAGGTGGGTTTGCTGAGGTTTTGCAATCCTGTTGATGCTTTCAACATGGAATCCAGCATGAAAGGACTGAAACATCAAAGGAAATACTTCTAGAGTACAGAGAGTTAAAAGCTGTCCTCCTGCCTAGATGGACAGAAGAATTCTGAATCTCCATCCTGTACACTCAGGTAATAATGGGGAGAGGAGGAGTAAAAATAAGACATTCAAGAATCTTGCCAGAAGTGAACAGCACATTAACCTCCTCAACAAATACAATCTCTTGACGTATTTATGTAAACATGTTTTTGAAAATCAGTAACTGGAATGAATCAAAGTGAAGACATACATACCAACATGTTTGTCAAACATCTCTCTTCCTTTCTACCTAGCATTCTTTAAATGGATTTTGATCTGGAAGAACCTAAACTTTAGTGAAGTATCTCATTTCTGTCTGCAATTTTCAATTGCAGATCATCTGACTGGAATCTGTGAGAAAAAAGCTCTTAGATTTTGACAACTTGTTCTCTATTGTTTTCCATGCCTTCTTATATAGATTAAAACTAAACCACAGTCACAAACATATAACAAAGAAGAGTATATTTAAAACTTGATGGTGAGAACTATTCTGTTTACAACTAAGTTGAACTAATAAATTGTGTGTCTTTTAAAGGGGAAGTTAATACTTCAAGTGAGGGTGTTAAAATGTGTTCTTCTAATTAAGAACATAAATATAAGCCTAATTCAACACGCTCTTTAATTTTCAAAATTCTGGTGCTTATTTATTCTCTAACAAAACATTAGCCTGGGAACAGAAGATTAACATGGTCAGGATCTATGTACACCATTCTGGTATGTGAGAGGGACTAGTTAAAATGTCCCTCTTCCCCACTTGAATATGGAATTGAGAAATAAAACAAAAGAGTAAGCAGATGGGGGACTAAAATGTCAGTTACTACCAAAATAGCTGAGTAGGTGGATGTGGCTTATATCAGTGGGAGAGAGAGTGCCTAATACTGAACCTAGATTAGACAGACTAACACACCCAGTCATAGGCACTGATGGACAAGACAGGGCTCCCACTCCATCCACAGCTAATGAAGGGTAGAGCCTTCATTAGGATGAGTAGAGCACTTACTGCCTATAGGCAGCTGACTTTCAAAAGAAATAAAGGAAGGAGTAGATCCAAGCATGCTCGCTTTATTCTACCCAAACTCGCAAATGAGATAAGGGTTCAGTTCCCCTGGGAATGGATGAGTGAAGAGGCAGACAGAGGCTAGAAATGTCACACTCTTGCCCCCGCCATATGGAAGGAAACATAGGAATGGGGAAGAAGTGTCTCTTCCTAACAGTACTGTAATCCAGGCAGTCACTTGATTTGGTGATAGGTGGTAGGGGTTTGGAGAGGGGGTAAATTCATATCCCCATTGCCTAGTATAGTCTTTTAAATAAGTACTAGGATAATGGCCTATGTAAATTACCAATTAAGGTAATAAGCCATAAGTATTAGATTTCTTACAATGCAATAGTCAACTTTCAGAAACAGATAACACAGCAGCATTTACGTTTGAGTAGAACTTTAAAACTGTTGTAGCAAGAGTCCTTATATTTAGGAGGGAAGACAAGGAGGGACAGGTCAAATTTTGGGGAAAGGATAGTATTAGTATGGTCTATTATGTTACAGAAGATTCTAGGAAAGCCTACTAAAATTACTTACTTTTAGAGAGTAATTTAATTATTTACTCATGATATCCATATGAACTGTGAGAAAGTTTACCTAGACTGTACCCAAATTGAGCTGAGAATTATTCGTGTTGGGAATCTGGGTAGCAAACTATTTCCATGCCTAGTAATGTTGCTTTAAAATTACATTTTTCCATTTTGTAAGCTCACCAAATTGCTCCTCTCACACTGGGCGAATTTCTTTGTTTTTATATCTTTTAGGCTTAAATTAGACACATCCCTATTTCTACTTGTAAATACAGTGAAAAAAACTGGCTTACAATACCTTATCCAGAATGAGATCATATGGAATCTCCAATCAAGAGATTAGAATAAAGCATCATTATGGCAGGTGTTTTTTTTTAAAATGAAAACAACAGGTTTAGTTTTTTACTGTTATCCTAGTATTTCAGATTTGTTTTATGTTATCAAAGGAATTTCTAAGGTATCATTCTTTAATATCTCTCAATGGATTTAATCAGAAATGCAAGATCATGATCTCCTAAAAGATAGATCCTTTTAAATCAACAATATAATATGCACACTTTTAACAATGAGAAATACACTTTTGGAAACCCCTATTGAATTGGGACAAGTAAATAGTTTGTGCCATTTACGAAGCAGATTCACATTAATCTATGTCTCTCTGCTATCAATGACTAATTATGGAAGGAGATAGAGCAGATGAAAAAAGATATAAGCTTCTATGGGGGGCATTTCAGTCTCAAAATCATTTGCACACATAAGTGATTTAACCAGGTTCTTCTTCCCTTATATTCCTTGAAAGAACCTTGTTTAGGAAATAGAATGAAAAATGATTTTTTCTAAAACTCCAACTGATCATAGGCAAGATTCAGTGTGTGTGATAGTCTCACCGCCTTCTTACTAAAAATAGCTCTAAGTTAGAAAGAAAGCAATATATTACAGCAATACAAAGAAGGTATTAACGCAATAAAGGATCTTGCCCCACCCCCTCAGTTATAATCGCATACACAGTCCTAGAACATGAAAGCTGTAATCCCAGAGACCAGTCTGGTCCTTCATTTGAAAGATGTGAAAACAGGTTCCAAGACATTAGTCTCCTGCCTAAGATCACACATCCTGTGAAAGGCAAAGGGAGAGTTAGGAACAAAAGCTCCTGATCCAAGTCCAAAGGCCTTTCCTTTACTAGACTTAGGGCACGAACTGAGGTTTAACCATTAGAATAAGGAAAAAAACAGACCAAATTTTACTTCTCAAACCTACTAAAAGAACAGCGTTTTCAAAAAGAATCCTTTACCAAAGACTTAGAATTTACATTTGGATGGTAGCTGTTGGTTACCTCAAAATGTCAGTAGTATGATTCTTTTTGTCCATCCTCATGAAAATAGATCTATACTTAGATCTCTTAGGATAAAATCCTATATCCACTATTAAGCTATCAGTGACAGTATGTGGAAAATTGGGGGCCCAGGAACAGGAAGTGGAGGGCTACATTCCAACCACTTATTACTTATGTTTTGGTACATTTTAAAGAAATTCCAGATTTGTTTACTGATAGAATTTATGGAATGATTTAGTTTCATCAAAAAGTAACATATTCTTCATGAATGTGTATTAATCCGAATAAGGTAGTCTGTCTTCATTTAAAACCATCTGTTGAAAATGAATTTTTATGAGTTGTCTTCTCAACACAGAGATAAAACAGATGTACATTTAACCCCAAACCTCAGAATCGCTCAGCCTATTCTAAAGCTTGATAAGATGTCTAGGATGTCATATACACAAATTAAAAATAAATCTGTTTACCTTGTGCTTTTATAGTTTAATATTTCAAGCAGAACAAAAGTCTACAAATAAAACTGTTTAGCTTTCAAACCCGATACAGCTCAAAGCCACCCTGCCTTCTGCACACTCACATCACCACTGAACCTTTATTTTTAACACTTTAAAAGAATTAAAATTGATTTGGGCTTACTGGAAATGTCAGATTATTGTCCTAAGATGATAGTGAACAGAAGGGTCCACAGAAGAAGAATAAAATTGGCATAAGGGCCAATGACCTTCCTAAGCAATAGCTTAGGAAGATCAGTCATGCAGGTATGTTACAACTTAATCTGAAAATTTCCAGCTACTTTACACAAGCTCTGTTGCAGCAAGAGACACTAAGTTATTTTCTACTACTAGTAGAACTTCAGAAGACCTTTCTTCAAGAGTGGGTAGAAAAGTCTCCTTCTCTGAATGTTAATAGAACCAATTGAACTCTCTGAAAGGGTCTGTTCTGTTTTCCATAGCAGCATGTACATGCCTTCAGATCAGGGCCAGGTATTATAGTGCTTTGCTTTCAACATGTCCAGCAAATGCTTGGAGCCCACAAAATACCTGTCAATGGGAATGAGAATGACTACATGTCATCTTAGAGTTTCTGGGCAGAGAGTCAGAGAGACTTGTTTCAACCTTTGGCTTGACTGTTTTATTAGCCAGGTAGATGTCTGCTTT
Organism: Homo sapiens; assembly: GCF_000001405.40. Lineage (NCBI taxonomy): Eukaryota > Metazoa > Chordata > Mammalia > Primates > Hominidae > Homo > Homo sapiens. The sequence continues at coordinate 153,109,216 of NC_000002.12, read as the reverse complement.
TCGAGTTTCAGTTTTTTCATCTTTAGAATGAAGTCTCACAGTCTATGACATACGTGAATTACCAACATCCCATGATATGTAGGGTACTAAAACAGAACAAGAGATGTATTAAGAAGTAGTTCTACAGCAAGTCAATCTAGACATCTCTAGTATCTCTTGGACATCTCTTGAAACCCAAAGGCTACAACCATATTATCTTGCCTTTATCAGAATCTTCAAAACAATTCTGGCTTCAATTGAGGCTCCAGATATGTTTTCCATATCTCTGTAAATACATTTGTAATTGACTCCAAATTGCAACTCCCACATATACTACTTATTGAATGAAATGTCTTTATATCAGCACATGGTTAGAAATTATATTCCAACCTGGAGCATCCAGAAATGAAACAGAAGGGAAATATATGACCTCCCCTTGGCTAATTAGCAAGTTAATAAAACTTGACTTTTTAGGGTTACAGACATCACTGTTTTTAGGATTGGAAGTCTTTTGATACTACAACTTCTTTTAACATTTGGGAGTTATTATCTCTCAGAGGCTTAAGCTTCTCATCCATTTGTAGGAATAGAGAATATCCCCAGGTGGTGAAATCCCTGCCCACCTCGCAGAGTTGGGCTCAGATCACTAATGAGGTAGTATGTGTAAACATATATTGTAATGTTCTATACAAAATTAAAAGTAATAATAGAATGAAAACCAAACCAATGTCTTTATCCTTTCCATTCCCAAGTTCCTGAATATTTGTTTTGCTTTGAGAAATGGGTATAGTTTAGGGAATTGTAATGTTTGAGGTAGAAAGACAGATAAAGAGTTAAAAAATAATTGTCACAAAAAATTCAGATTGCCCATCATATTCACAGCACCCCTCCCCAACTGCAGTATACACAGCATACAATTCAGCATTTATTGTTGCAAAGTGACTACCACATGAAAAAAAAACTTGTTCTTTTTAAATTTATTTGTTATATTCCATGTATTTTATTGCAATAGCAACAAATGGCACACTACTATGAACCACCTATAAGACAGTGTGCTCTTAGCCAGGCACGGTGGCTCATGCCTATAATCCCAGAATTTTGGGAGGCCAAGGCAGGTGGATCACTTGAGGCCAGGAGTTCAAGATCAGCCTGGGCAACATGGCAAAACCCTGTCTCTACTAAAAATACAAAAATTAGCCGAGTGTGGTGATGCATGTCTGTAATCCCAGCTACTTGGGAGGCTGAGGCACAAGAATTGCTTGAACCCAGGGAAGCAGAGGTAAGACAGTGTGTTCTTTTGGAAATGATATGTGTTGTAGAGGTGTTTAACTTATAAACAATTACCTCTTAATTATACATATGTATTTTTATTGTTCACTTTGTGGATTTTCTGTGCCAAACCTTAAATCCCAAAATGGCTTTCCTTTGTCATCTCCCTGCAATGTGGAGCTATTTCTCTCCACCCACACGCATTCTCAAGTGTATATTTTGGAAATGAAAACCTATTTATTATTATCCTAAGCAAAACTAAGTTATGACAGTAAATCTGCTGCCAAAACATAGTCAGGACATCTTCCAAAGGCAAATACAAATGATTTGAGGCCATCCATTTTTTACCTACTTCTCTACTCCTCTCCAGGAAAAATAATCTACTTTATTGTTTTGGTTCAGATGTATTTTCCTTTAGTTTGCCTTCTTTTCTGCTGCTTGAAATATGCACTCAGCTTGGTCAGATTAATGCAGTGATAATCTCAAATTTAAAATGAATTAAAAAGAGTCACCTAAGGAACATGTTTTAAAAAACAGAGATTCTCAGGCCTTTCTTCTAGGTATGCTAATCACTAAATCTAGAGAAAAGCCTGGAAACACACATTTTAACATACATCATGGGTGTTCCTTTAGCCCATTTGGAAAACCACTGATCTCATGCAGATCTGGATGGGACCACAATTGAATCTCTACATCTGATTGTTCAACTGGACATTGTCTTAGCCCTATGGCTCTTCTGAGAGCTTTCAGTGTTTGAATCTTGACAGCGAGGACCTTTCATCACAAAGCTCAAATAATTCACTGTCCTTTCTTTATATGGAACTTTATTTTAATCCTGGATATAAATATTGCAAGGCCACCAAGTTGCCCAAATTAAGATGAACAGATAAACAGAAACACAAAGAGCACTTTTAAATGTAACCTACTTATAGGGAGCAGGGGTTTTATTTTTGAAAACCTATTTACCTACTTTCACTTTCCTTTTTGAAAAGTGTGTTGCTTACAAAATGCAGCTCAGGCAATTTACTCCTCTAAGTATTCAATCAGATTTTCATACCAATTAGGATAATTATAAGCACAATTTAAACAGATTTCTTAATTATAGCTACAAATATCTATCAGTGAAAACAAGTCCCAGAGCTTATAACAAAAGAGTTTTCTGTAAATAGTAGGTGAGCACTAATTTCCATGCCTCACATCCGTGGAAAAAAATATTTCTTCCAGCATCCATTTGCAAGTCATAAAGAATATCCTTCATCTTCACTCCTAATCCTATAGGCTCAGACCTACATTTTTTGGTGTCAAATATTTGGGCATACATCACCTCACACTGACACCAGCTAGAAAACAATATCTCTGGACCAACTCATCAATTAAAGAGTGTGAAGTTGTCTTGGATTTCTTTCACAGTCAGCATGGACTGCATCATTTTTATTCCTGCTAAGAAAACACTTGCCTAAGAAGCAAGAAGGGATGGGCTTGCTGTGTTATGACTTAGCCACTACTCTCTGGTTCTGTAGAGTCATGATGGAAAGCATGGTACTCACTCATATCTGACTCAGATTCACATGGAGAGACAATGGACTTGACAAATGCTTCAAGGAGGAGTTCAGACGGGTTAAGTTCAGAAAAGGCCACAATCCCCCTGAACACAGGCCAAGTGATCTATGTTCAGAGATATGCCAACTACACAGGGAGGGAGCAATGCATAATTTATCATAATTTTTTGGAAAGCTGGAATACATTTTGCCATGAACTTTCCCCTTGCATTTTGAAATCCAAGTGTTGTCAAGGGAAATGGAATCACAGAGCTCAACTGTCAAAAGTAATCTTTGAGGGAGTTATTTAAATGATAGCATTTTATTTAATTAACCCTTCTGAGTGTCTGTGGGGTGCCTAGAAAGCATCACTCGGGTGTGCACAACACAGAAAAGACAGTGCCCTCTGAACAAATGTCATGTCAACAGAGACTTGACAGCTCTATGGATGTCAAGGTTAATCACTGAAAGCAACATATAAAGAAAACATTCAAAAATGATTCAATAAAAAGAAAGCATAGATGGTAAAAGCTAAACTAAATGTTCTTCCATTTGTTTGTATCCTCTTTTATTTCATTGAGCAGTGGTTTGTAGTTCTCCTTGAAGAGGTCCTTCACATCCCTTGTAAGTTGGATTCCTAGGTATTTTATTCTCTTTGAAGCAATTGTGAATGGGAGTTCACCCATGATTTGGCTCTCTGTCTGTTATTGGTGTATAAGAATGCTTGTGATTTTTGTACATTGATTTTGTATCCTGAGACTTTGCTGAAGTTGCTTATCAGATTAAGATTTTGGGCTGAGATGATGGGGTTTTCTAGATATACAATCATGTCATCTGCAAACAGGGACAATTTGACTTCCTCTTTTCCTAATTGAACGCCCTTTATTTCCTTCTCCTGCCTGATTTCCCTGGCCAGAACTTCCAACACTATGTTGAATAGGAGTGGTGAGAGAGGGCATCCCTGTCTTGTGCCAGTTTTCAAAGGGAATGCTTCCAGTTTTTGTCCATTTGGTATGATATTGGCTGTGGGTTTGTCATAGATAGCTCTTATTATTTTGAGATACGTCCCATCAATACCTAATTTATAGAGAGTTTTTAGTATGAAGCTTTGTTGAATTTTGTCAAAGGCCTTTTCTGCATCTATTGAGATAATCATGTGGTTTTTGTCTTTGGTTCTGTTTATATGCTGGATTACATTTATTGATTTTCATATGTTGAACCAGCCTTGCATCCCAGGGATGAAGCCCACTTGATCATGGTGGATAAGCTTTTTGATGTGCTGCTGGATTCGGTTTGCCAGTAATTCCTACGTTTAGAAAAGGAATTGAACAATGAGAACACATGGACACAGGAAGGGGAACATCACACTCTGGGGATTGTTGTCGGGTGGGGGGAGGGGGGAGGGATAGCATTAGGAGATATACCTAATGCTAAATGACGAGTTAATGGGTGCACACACCAGCATGGCACATGTATACATATGTAACTAACCTGCACATTGTGCACATGTACCCTAAAACTTAAAGTATAATAATAATAATAAAAAAAAGAAAAGGAAGTGCAGTTTAAAGTGGTAAAATGATTACAAAATAGGTCTGTGAAAAAGAGATAATAGAACCAAAGCATTCTAACTTCTATATGAAATCTGCCTCTTCTCATTGCAAATGAAAAGCAAATGGAAGCTTCCATAGGTTACAGAATATTTTTTCTTTCACAGCCTTACATGTTTATATATCTAGTCAAACATGGTAGATAATGGAAATACTTCAGACTTTGGAATAATAGTAAGTCTAACTTCCATTTGATTGCCACTAACTGAAACTACATATATGTAAGAATCAGATAAAGCAGGGGCCTCAAACTCCAAAATATAAAGAGTCCAAACATGTACAACAAATGAATGAGGCAAGACCAGTGGATACTACAGTAAACCAGAAACATGTACCTTTTCATTGTTTTTTGTCAGGAGGGTATGTATGCCTAGGGCTACCAGATTGTCCTACTTTTCTTAGTAAAGTCAGAAATCCAAAAATTTTTTTACAAATTCTAATTTTTAAGTGGTAGCATCTAATTTAAAAACTTTGAAATGTTGGGAGAGCCCATTAATACCTATTTGATGGCTGTATCTAGACTGTGAACTGTCAGTTTGCAATCCCTAAGTGGAGCACATCTGGGCAAAGAAAACACAAGAAATGATGCCAGATAAAAAACAATTATATTTTTAGAAGGAAAAAGTATTGCTTCCTTTTAATGTAAAAAGCATATAACTCAAAATTTTGTGATTCAAACTGTAAGAGCCTAAACGCAAAATTAATAGTGCTTTAATTCAGTAAATATGTACTAATAGTAAAGTTGTGAAGGCATTGAGCTAAGTGTTGTAGGGGATATAAAGATGAGTGTGACACTAACCTTGCCCTCAAGAAGATTACTCTTCAGAAGGTAGGAAATAGAAATAGTGAAAATATAAGAAGAATATAATGTATCATTAGAGGGTTTGTATAAGGCTCAGAGAAGGAAGAATTATATTTTCACTAAAACCACAAAAAATTTTCTCAAAGAGTGAATGAACTGGGCAGTAGAGACCAGATTTCTCAGCCAAGCAGCAGATTAATTTCTGCTGAACACCTCCCAAACACAATCTAGGTATGTGGGATGCAGTCATGAATAAGGCACAGGAGAGCCTGCTCTCAAGGAGCTTACATTTTAGTGTAGAGAGACAGACAATGTATAGAAAAGCAAACCAAAAAAGACTTTCAAATACTGAAAAGTGCTAAAAAGAAAATCATCCAGGGTCCAAGGACAGACCTCCCTCATCCATTTATAGCGTTGGCATCATTCACTCTGTACATCCCAGGGGCCTGAAAGGCCAAATCTACATCTGAAAACAGGTTAAGCTAATCTTCTTAAAATTCCATATTCTTCACCACTAGAGAAAAATGTACCCTCTCAAACTATCCATTGTTATCTTTTCATCACACATACAGTAATGAGATACAGAGCTGGGGGCCTATGTAGAGTGGGCAGGAAAGGTGTCTCTGGAGGCATCACATTTAATTTGGGAAGCCAGACATGAGTAGTTTTGAAGAGTGTTCTATGCAAGAGGAACAACAAGAACTAGGCCAAGGAGGGAATGAGCTGGACATACTTCAAGAACAGAAAGAAGGACAGTGTGCGGGAACAGTGAACAAGATGCAGCACAGAAAGGTTGAGGTCAGTGGGGTAGACAGTGGCAAGTGTTTCAGGCCATGGTAAAACGTTTATTCTTCTGGTTGCAGGGAAAAAGTCACTGAAGGATTTAGAACAGGAAATTAACATGATCTGATTTAGGCCTTAAGGAGATCAGTCCAGTTGGCCTTTGAAAGATGAAGGGTGGGGAGGGAGGTGCAAGTTTAAAGGCAGGGGGACTAGTTGGGAGGTCGTTTCAGCATTAATACCCTGGGCTGTGCTTCAGTAAACATGCCTTTCCTCTTGCCAACATGCTATACCTCTTACTGGTTATGTAAAGGAGGTTGTAGCTAGCTCCACCCTTATCACATGACCAGGAGACTTCAATTATCCCTCTGGTAGACACTGCCATGACAATATTGGTAAAAATACATTTTCATGTTACATAGCACCTTTTGGCATGCCTGTGAAGTGGTTTTAGTATACTATTTGACATGGCACACCAGCTGATAACCAAGTTAAAGGACTGACTTAACTTGAAGAGGTAAACTTGAAGAAGATAAGTAATAGCTGTTTCGGGGGAATGGTTCAGGGAGAGAACAAGAAATTGAGAGAGTATTATTTGCTACCTCAAACGTTGCAAGTTTGAGTTTCTTCTTCATTCATTTAAATAATATTGCCTAAAATGATAGCAATTCACATCATAATGCAGCCAGATTTTTACTATGTTCTTTGTAATGGTGATTACATTTTCCTCCAAGGAAGTATATCTGCACAAACAGTTTAATTTTTTAAACTGAAAATTGGGGAGCCATTAGAGTAAATGTTCTTTCCCCAGTGAATAATGATTATTTAACAGAATAATTTACCTTCCAATGTAGCCACTGAAATGATTACAAAGATACTTCTGAGATTTAAAAAAAATCATAAGACAGTAAAAACTAAAGCCAATACATTTGAAAAAAAGGAATGAATGATTTTTCTGGGTTAGATACACTCTATATCTAAAGACAGAAGCAAAGAGAGACAGAGAAACAAAGAGACAAAGACAGAGAGAGGGAGATAGAGAGAGAAAGAGGGAGACAGAGCAAGACAGAGACACAGACAGACAGACACAGAGTTCCCAAGAGACACACACAGGACACCCTGACAGAGCAAAAGGGAGACCCCAAAAGAGGGAAAGAGCAAGAGAGAATTAAATCTAATATCTATTTCCATAAATAACAAAAAACACAAAATGCATAAAAATAAATGATACTGTTTATGTCTATATAGCATTTATGTCTATGCATTATCTATATGTTGAAATATTATAGATACATAAATGTATGTAAGAGTATAAAAATGGAAAAGTATTCAAATTCCTAATAATAGTTACTTCTGAAGATGGAAAGGAAGAATAGACTGAAAGTGGGTTGAGGTAACCTTTATTTCTACGCAAAGACAGATGTGCATGAGCACGTGCATATGTCTATATGAAGAAACCATCAGTTTTTAACAGCTCTAGATGAAGCTATTAAATTTCTGTTGCAGCCTTCTTTGTGTTTGCCTATTTTTTAATATCTCAAAAGACAAAAAGACGGATAGCCAGGTAGGTCAATTTTGAAGAACTTTTTATGATGTGACACAAAACCCATTGTTAAATTTCACAAACGTCCTTTTAATTGCTGAGAGCAAAATGCCTGTAGACTAAAAAACAAAAAAAGACTAGAATGCAGTGCATTACATTTCAGATAATGGCAAATAAGGGGAAGAATACTATCTCAAAAGTGCAAAAAAACAGATCCCTGCTTCAACAGTAAAACCACAACAGATGATAACAAACAGCGTATGCCTGACATTCCTGGAGTTGGTCAACCTTGAAAGTTTCCTTTCTACTTCTGCCAAGACCGTAAAAAAGCAATCTCTGACCCAATGGGTTCAAAACACAGTGTGTTTTTCAAATGCAAGCAGACTCATGCCATGGCCTGGGAGAATCTAGGTACACTTGAGAATTTTTAAGCACAAAATTAAATAATATTACCCTCTAGCTCACTAAAATAATTCACCAATATAAGATTCACACAAAGCAATTGTGTTCTGGACCTATAACTTTTAATGAACCTATAATAGAGTATTTGCATTATATAATTTACATAAGCATACATAAGTTATAAATTATGTTATTTACATCATAACATACATAATTATAAATATACATAGATATTAGATTTTTGGTTTTTTTGAGACAGAGTCTCACTCTGTCACCCAGGCTGGAGTCTCACACTGTCACACAGTGGCACGATCTTGGCTCACTGCAACCTCTGCCTCTCGGGTTCCAGCGATTTTCCTGGCTCAGCCTCCCAAGTAGGCGGGATTTCAGGCATGCACCACCATGCCCAGCTAGTTTTGTATTTTTTAGTAGAGATGGGGTTTCACCATGTTGGCCAGGTTGGTCTCAAACTCCTGGCCTCAAGAGATCTCCCTGCCTCAGCCCCGCAAAGTGCTGGGATTACAGGCGTGAGCCATAGTGCCTGGCCTAGATATTACATATTATTAGAAGCCAGTTGAAATGATCAGTCTATGTGTATGCCTGTCTTTCAATTTTGTTAATGAAGAAAGACATTTATATACTTACATAAATATTTAAGGTCAAACAGAATAAAGGTGAGCAAAGAAGAGACTCTTATTTCCCATGGAGCATAAAATAATGAGACTGATAATCCTACAAGAGCCGTAAGCCCCACAGGTCACATTTAAGGAGAGTAATTCCTTATTTCTTCCAAAACAATTTTCTCCAAGTACAAATGTTTACAAGTCCCCAAATAGTCACAATAGCCTTCTCCATACAGCTCTAAGTAGAAATTTACTTTCAAGCACAGGTGACAGAAAGCTGTAATTACATCTGCTATTGTCCCTGTGCTGATAAGAAAGGAATGCTTTCCTCACCATTCACTGCAGCTTCTGTGTAAAAGAGCTATAGCAATTTATGGCATGTGCTCATTATCTGGGAAATCCACATGCCAAGTTCTGCCATCTTTTGTGGAGATGGCAGTTAGAGTCTGAAAGTTTTGGTTTTTGTTTTGGTTTTTATTTACTTAATTAAACTCATCTACTCTTTTCAGGTTCATTGGACATTGATTTGAAGCCATAAGAACTTACTTTGAGAAACCATCTGATCCTTTCAAAATAATCTCTTCTGAATTTTCAACTTATTGTTTACATTGTTAATTATGTTTGCACTAAATGAGGATCATATAAGAATTTTAGCTTTTTCTTTTTCCCAATCCAATTTCATACCAAAAGCCATTAGGTTACAAAAACGTGTTTCCTCAACTTATAGTCATAATTCCTGAGATACCTTCTGTACTCCTTTCAATAGTCCTCAGAAATATTTATGAAGCTCAACCCTAGCCCCAGTCAATTCTACAGTTTTGACTCTGGACTTGCTGCATACTGTGTGAGAAGATATAAGGAGAATCACATGTTCAATAAATATTAATTGCCTAATGCACAACACGTATTATGCAAAGTGATAAAAGGAAAATAAGAGATACATCCATAAGAACTATAACTTAGAGAAATACCATGAAATAAGCAGAGAACAATGAAAAACATTAAATAGAGTTACACCTATAATTTACCCACATCTTGCATAGTACAGTATTTCACATAAAGTAAAATGTTTAGCCATTTAAATAATTCTCATTTAAGCATAATTACTTCATCTAAATATTTTAATAAAATCTTTCTAAATGCATTATGTATTTGCCTGCCTTTATTAGCAGAACGCATAACAAATCAACCTTTTATTAACATGTGAGTTTATCAATATATCAATATTGTACTTTTCCATAACAGTGAGAGTCTTGTGTACATTTGAGTTATGTGTAGCTCAAGCTCCTGTATGGCCCAAAAATTTCTTTAGATTTTGCACTCATTTTGATCATTTTTAATCCATTCCTTTACCATCAAAATGTCACAGAAACAATGCTGAACTGAAAAGCCAGATCAGGAATTTACACCCAACGTGATCACTTGTCACAATGGAATTTCAAGTCGGTCACTTGCAACCTACTGAAAACTCATTTTATCATGTTTAAAATGATAAAGTGTGATACACACTACAAGGAAAACTATGTTATTATTTTTTGTTGTTTGTTTGTTTTGTTTTGAGATGGAGTCTCACTCTGTTGCCCAGGCTGGAGTGCAGTGGCGCAATCTCAGTTCACTGCAACCTCTGCCTCAAGCGATTCCCTTGCCTCAGCCTCGGAGTAGCTCGAACTACAGCTACTCATATTTTAAATATGATAAACTCATTTTATCATATTTACAGTGAGTTGAAAGAGATGCTTTCCAAGTCTTCTTCCAACTCTAAGAGGCTATCTCTCACAGGCTACTGGTGAAAATGTGAATTGCTACAACCACTATGGAAAACTTTTTATTTTATCTGGTCAAGCTAAAATTACACACATTCTATGACTCTTTGGCTTAGGAATTCGACTCAGGAAATCCACTCCAGTCAATTCCACCCTGAGAAACATGTTCAGGATATTTAAAATAGCATAATTTATAATATCTAAATATTCGTCAACAATACAATAGATAAATTGTTGCATATCCATTCAATGGAATACTATATAGCAATTAAGATGAAATACAGCCATATGCAACAATATGGGTGAATCTCACAAATGTGATTTTGAATTTGATTTTAAATTTTTTTAAGTCATGAAAAATACATGGTTTCATTTCTATGAAGTTTTTGAAAAGCAAAACTAAAATATTATGTATAGGAATGCATACTTAGGTGGCAAAACTATAAAGATAAGTCAGGAAAATGTAACTATACTCACATGATAGTGATTAATTTTATTAGGAAAAGAGAGGTTGTGATAGCAAACATGGCTTTTCACTTTACAGAAATTAAATAAGCTGGGAGCCAAGGATTTTATATCCAGATAAATTGGTCTTCAGGTATAAAGTCCACAAACAGTTATGATAAGCAAGACTTCAGGGAATACTATTCCTAAGAGCCCTTCATGAAGAAGGCTATTAAAGATTAAACTTGAGACAACTAACATAACCAGAAAAACACTGATCCAAAGACTGGTAGTGAGCATTAAATATATATTTATCTGAAGAACTAAAGACTGCAACTAAGTGATGGCTATAAGGGAACTATGTTATTACATTTTGTTTGTTGGTTTTGTTTTGATTTGAGACGGAGTCTCACTCTGTTGCCCAGGCTGGAGTGCAGTGTTATGATCTTGGCTCACTGCAATCTCCGCTTCCTGGGTTCAAGCGATTCCCTTGCCTCAGCCTCCCAAGTAGCTGTGACTACAGGTGCCCACGACCACGCCCAGCTAATTTTTGAATTTCTAGCAGAGAGGGGGTTTCACCATGTTAGCCAGGCCGGTCTCAAACTCCTGACCTTAGGTGATCCACCCACCTCGGCCTCCCAAAGGGCTTACAGGCTTGAGCCACTGTGCCGGGCTGGAAACTGTATGTTATGTAATGCCTGTATGATCTGACAATAGAGAGCACAAATACCAAAAATTAGGAAAGAATGGTGAGATTAGGTGAAACATAGAATAAACTCAACATCTGATAAAAATTAACTCTGAATAAAAGGATTTTACTTCAAATTAGAGGCTCTGACAGACAAAAGAGATCAAACTTACTTACTGATCTTCATGTTGTTTATAATAAGTTACCAATAGATAGTGCACCTTTAAGAAATATGTGTTAGGTTATTATAAAATTACTGGTATACATCTAAGCATTTGAACAAAAATTTAAACCTTTCTCTATAAAACCAAAAATATAAAAGAAAAGGAGAGAGGGAAGTGGAACAAGATGGCACAATAGAAAGCTCCATCAATCATCCCATTAATGAGAAATAAATAATCACCTGAAGGTACAAAACTTACTGGTAATAGTAAGTACACAGAAAAACATAGAATATAATACTGTAACTGTGCTGTGTAAACTACTCTTATCCTAGGTAGAAAAAATAAATGATGAACTGATCAAAAATAATAATTACAACAATTTTTCAAGACATTCAGTACAATAAAATATAAATAGAAACAGTATAAGTTACAAAGCGGGGGACAAAATTAAGGCATAGAGTTTTTATTAGTTTTCCTTTTGCTTGTTTATCCAAACAGTTTTGTTATAAGTTTAAAATAATAGGTTATAAAATAGTATTAGCAAGCATCATGGTAACATCAAACCAAAAAACATACAACGAACACACAACAGATAAAAAGCAAAAAAATAAATCATATCACCAGAGAAAATTACCTTCAATAAAAAGAAGACTGGAATAAATGAAAGAAGGAAAAGAAGACCACAAAATCAACAGAAAACAAATAACAAATTGACAGGAGTAAGTCCTTACTTGTCAATAATAACATTGAATGTAAATGAACTAAACTTTACAATCAAAAGACATAGACTGGCTAAAAGGATAAAATAAACAAGACTCATTAATCTGTTGGCTATAATAAACACACTTCACCTATAAAGACATACACAGATTGAAAATAAAGGGATAGAAAAAGATATTTCATGCCAGTGAAAGCCAAAAAAGAACAGGAGTCACTATACTTACATTAGACAAAATAGATTCCAAGGCCAAAACCATAAAAAGAGACAAAGGAGGTCACTACACACTAATAAAGGAGTCAATTCAACAAGTGGATATAACAATTTTAAATATACAACCAACACTGGAGAAGCCAGATATATAAAGTAAATATTATTAGAGCTAAAGAGAGAAATAGACTCCAATTCGATAATACCTGGAGACTTCAACATGCCACTTTCAGCACTGGACAGATCTTCAAAACAGAAAAATCAAAGAACTATCAGGGCTCATCTGCATTATAGACCAAAGGAATCTAATAGATATTTATAGAACATTTTATCGAATGGCTGTAGAATACACATTCTGTTCCTTAGTACATGGATCATTCTCAAGGATAGACCATATGTTAGGTCACAAAAAAAAATCTTAAAACATTCCAAAAAAAAACAAACTAAAATAATATCAAGTATCTTCTCTGACCACAGTGGAATAAGACTAGAATAACATGAATAATTTTGGAAATTATACAAGTACATGGAAATTAAACAATATGTTTCTGAAAGACCAATGGGTCAATGAAGAAATTAAGAAGAAAACTGAAAAATTTGTTTTTTTGAAGCTAATTATATTTATTTATTTATTTATTTATTTACTTATTTTATTATACTTTAAGTTCTAGGGTACATGTGCACAACATGCAGGTTACATATCTATACATGTGCCATGTTGGTATGCTGCACCCATTAACTCATCATTTACATTAGGTATATCTCCTAATGCTATCCCTCCCCGCTCCCCCCACCCCATGACAGGCCCCGGTGTGTGATGTTCCCCATCCTGTGTCCAAGTGTTTCATTGTTCAATTCCCACCTATGAGTGAGAACATCCAGTGTTTGGTTTTCTGTCCTTGTGATAGTTTGCTGAGAATGATGGTTTCCAGCTTCATCCAGGTCCCTACAAAGCACATGAACTCATCCTTTTTAATGGCTGCATAGTATTCCATGGTGTATATGTGCCACATTTTCTTAATCCAGTCTATCATTGATGGACATTTGGGTTGGTTCCAAGTCTTTGCTATTGTGAATAGTGCTGCAATAAACATATGTGTGCATGTGTCTTTATAGCAGCATGATTTATAATCCTTTGGGTATATACCCAGTAATGGGATGACTGGATCAAATGGTATTTCTAGTCCTAGATCCTTGAGGAATTGCCACATTGTCTTCCACAATGGTTGAACTAGTTTACAGTTCCATCAACAGTGTAAAAGTTCCTATTTCTCCACATCCTCTCCAGCACTTGTTGTTTCCTGACTTTTTAATGATCGCCATTCTAACTGGTATGAGATGGCATCTCATTGTGGTTTTGATTTGCATTTCTCTGATGGCCAGTGATGATGAGCATTTTTTCATGTGTCTGTTGGCTGCATAAATGTCTTCTTTTGAGAAGTATCTGTTCATATCCTTTGCCCAATTTTTGATGGGGTTGTTTGATTTTTTCTTGTAAATTTGTTGGAGTTCTTTGTAAATTCTGGATATTAGCCCTTTATCAGATGGGTAGATTGCAAAAATTTTCTCCCATTCTGTAGGTTGCCTGTTCACTCTGATGGTAGTTTCTTTTGCTGTGCAGAAGCTCTTTAGTTTAATTAGATCCCATTTGTCAATTTTGGCTTTTGTTGCCATTGCTTTTGGTGTTTTAGTCATGAAGTCCTTGCCCATGCCTATGTCCTGAATGGTATTGCCTAGGTTCTCTTCTAGGGTTTTTATGGTTTTAGGTCTAAAATTTAAGTCCTTAATCCATCTCGAATTAATTTTTGTATAAGGTGTAAGGAAGGGATCCAGTTTCAGCTTTCTACATATGGCTAGGCAGTTTTCCCAGCACCATTTATTAAATAGGGAATCCTTTCCCCATTTCTTGTTTTTGTCAGGATTGTCAAAGATCAGATGGTTATAGATGTGTGTTATTGTTTCTGAGGGCTCTGTTCTGTTCCATTGGTCTGTATCTCTGTTTTGGTACCAGCACCATGCTATTTTGGTTACTGTAGCCTTGTAGTATAGTTTGAAGTCAGGTAGCATGATGCCTCCAGCTTTGTTCTTTTGGCTTAGGATTGTCTTGGCAATGCGGGCTCTTTTTTGGTTCCATATGAACTTTAAAGTAGTTTTTTCCAATTCTGTGAAGAAAGTCATTGGTAGCTTGATGGGGATGGCATTGAATCTCTAAATTACCTTGGGCAGTATGGCCATTTTCACAATATTGATTCTTCCTATCCATGAGCATGGAATGTTCTTCCATTTGTTTGTGTCCTCTTTTATTTCATTGAGCAGTGGTTTGTAGTTCTCCTTGAAGAGGTCTTGAAACAAATTATATTGGAAACACAACATACCAAAACATATCAGATACAAAAAACGCAGTATACAGAGGGAAGTTATAGCTATAAGTGCCTACATCAAAAAATAAATAATCCAACAATGCATCTTAAGGAATGAAAAAAGGGAAAACCAAACCCAAATTTAATATGAAAAAAATAAAGTCAGAACACAAATAAAATTGTAATAAACAATACAAAAGATTTTTTCTAAAAGTTAAACAAAATGGACAAACTTTAGTCAGGCTAAGAAAAACAGAGAGAGATGATCCAAATAAATAAAATCAATAATGAAAAAAGGGGACATTACAATTGATACTGCAGAAATTCAAAGGATCATTAGTGGCCACTGTGAGCAACTACATGCTAATAAATTAGAAAATCTAGAAGAAAAGGACAAATTCCTAGATACACACAACCTAGCAAGATTGAACCAGGAAGAAATCCAAAACCTGCACAGACCAATAAAAAGTAATGAAATTGAAGTTATAATAAAAAGTCTCCCAGTAAAGAAAGGCCCAGGACCTGATGCTTCACTACTGAATTCTACCAAACATTTAAAGAAGAACTAACATCAATCCTACTCAAACTATTCCAAAAACTAGAGGAGGAGTGAATACTTCCAAACTCATTCTGTGAGGCCAATATTACCCTGAAACTAAAACCAGACAAACACACATCAAAAAAAGAAAACTACTGGCCAATGTTACTGATGAATATTGATGCAAAAATCCTCAACAAAATACTAGCAAACTGAATTCAACAATACATTAGAAAGATCCTTCATCAGCCACACACGGTGGCTCATGCCTGTAATCCTAGCACTTTGGGAGGCCGAGGCGGGTGGATTGCCTGAGCTCAGGAGTTCGAGACCAGCCTGGCAACAATGGTGAAACCCTGTCTCTACTAAAATACAAAAAAGTAGCCAGGCATGGTGGCATGCATCTGTAGTCCCAGCTACTCGAGAGGCTGAGGTAGGAGAATTGCTTGAACCCAGCAGGTGGAGGTTGCAGTGAGCTGAGATCATGCCACTGCACTCCAGCCTGGGCAACAGAGCAAGACTCCATGTCCACAAAAAAAAAAAAGAAAAGAAAAGAAAAAAAGAAAGATCCTTCATCATGACCAAGTGGAATTTATCCCTGGAATACAAGGATGGGTCAACACATGTAATCAATGTGGTACACTATACAAGAGAATGAAGGATAAAAACCAGGTGATAAATTCTATTGATGCTGAAAAAGCATTTGATAAAATTCAAGATCTCTTCATGATTAAAAAAAAAACCTCAAAAACTGAGGATAGAAGGCATATACCTCAACATAATAAAAACCATATGTGACAGACCAACAGCTAATATATTAAATGGGAAAAAACTGAAAGCCTTTCCTCTAAGGTCTGGAACATGACAAGGATGCCCACTGTCACCACTGTTATTCAACATGGTACTGTAATTCCTGTGCTATGTTGCACTTCTAGTACCATGGAAGCAATAGAAAAGTGAAAGAGAGGAAATTAAAATTGGAAAGGATGAAGTTAAATTATCTTTGTTTTGCAGATGATATGATCTTATATTTGGAAAATCCTAGATGCCACAAGAAAAATATTAGAACTGATATACAAATTCAGTAAAGCTGCAGAATACAAAATCAACATACAAAATTCAGTAGCATTTCTATATGCCAACAGTGAATAACATGAGAAAGAAATCAGAAAGTAATCTCATTTACAATAGTCACACATAAAATTAAATATCCAGGAATTAACTAAAGAAATAAAATATCTCTATAATAAAAACTATAAAACACTGATGAAAGAAATTGAAGAGGACACCAAAAAATAGAAAAATATTCCACATTCTTGGATTGGAAGCATGAATCTTGTTAAAATATCCATAGTACCCTAAGCAATCTACAGACTCAATGTAATCCCTATCAAAATACAAATGATATTCTTCACAGAAATAGAAAAAAAGATCCTAAAATGTATATGAAACCACAAAAGACCCAGAATAGTCAAGGCTATCCTAAAAAAGGAACAAAACGGAGGAAATCACATTACTTGACTTCAAATTATACTCTAGAGCCACAGTCATCAAAACAGCATGGTAGTAGCATAACAACAGACACATAACCAAAGGAACAGAATAGAGAACTCAGAAACAAATCTGCACACCTAGAGTGAACTCATTTTTGACAAAGGTGCCAAAAACATACACTGCAAAAAAGACAGTCTCTTCAATATGTGGTTCTGGGAAAACTAGATACCCATATGCAGAAGAATGAAACTAGACCTCTATCTCTCACTATGTACAAAACTCAAATAAAAATGGATAAAATACTTAAATCTAAGACTGCTAACTATAAAACTACTATCAGAAAACATTGGGAAAAATCTCCAGGACACTTGTCTGGGCATAAAATTCTTGAGCAATACCCCACAAGTGCACATAACCAAAGCAAAAATGGACAAACGGGATCACATCAAGTAAACAAGCTTCTGTACAGCAAAAGATACAATCAACAAAGTGAAGAAACAACCGACAAAATGGGAGAAATTATTTGCAAACTACCCATCTGACAAGGGATTAATAACCAGACTACATAAGGAGCTCAAACAACTCAAACAACCCAATAAGAAAAAACAACTAATAATACAGAGGTGATTGTTTGGGAGGATGGCAGATGGGAGACAAGGCTAACATGCAGCTCCCACTTGGACAGACAGAACAGCATGTGGAGACTCACACTGTGATTTTTTGCTCCAAGAACTACCACAGGAATGTACCAGGAAAATTTAAATAATTCACAGATCCTTTGAAAGGAGCAGCATGCCACTGCAAATTCTGTGAAACAGGCAAGAAACTGTGAGTTCCCCAAGTGTGAGATGGGGAAAACCTGCCTCTGAACACACATCCCCACTGGGGAATCTGAAAATACAGATCAGGGAGAAAGGATTTCACCTTACCTAGAGCTGAAATGGATTTAAGGAGTCATGATAAATATAAAAGTAGAAGCAGCAACAGGAAGTGCCTTGCAAACACTCTGAGTCTTCAGCTTGAGCCCAGGGAAGCTATCTCTGACTATATCTCACAGGGGTTCTTGGGGAAGGCAGCCAGCACAATTGGGAAGGGGGAGTCATAGGGTGAAGGAATCTTCCAACTGAAATTGATAGTGGTTTCGACTAGGCACAAATTTTCTTGAGCAGAATCCAGAGGATGAGTGGGAGCTGCTACAGGTATGAGTACAGAAGCACAGGAGACACCGCCAATGGAGTCAGCAGACAGGGAGGGTCAAGGTCTGAAAGCCATGCTTGCTTTTTCAGCAGGGAAGCTCACAGCCTCAGGCAGGTTCTCAACAGGGCACTGCAGGAGTGAAACTGGCCTCACCAACTGCGTAGGACCTGGGTGAGGCCTCTTGCTACCAGCTATCCCCCACTTTCCTGGCAAACTATATGAAACAGCAGAGGTAGCCAAGGTCTCCTACGGAACTAACACCATTGGCCTGAGAACCATTCCCCATTCCCCACAGTAGCCACAGCAAGCCCCGCCCAAGAAGAGCTTGAGTCCAGACTTGCCTAACCCTGCCCCCACTTGATGGTATTTCTCTACCTGCCCTGGGAGCCAAACACAAAATACAGAAACTCTTTGGAGCTTTATGGCCCTTCCCATATGCTGTCCAACTTAGAGCAAGCTTAGAGCCCCCTACTACTAAAGCAGTTCGTACTCTCTTGAAAGCACCACCTCCTGGCTGGAGGCCAACCAATGTAGCCCATTACAGCAACTCATGACAGAATAACTCCAGTTCCAGGAAGGAGAAGACAACACCTAATTCCACTGCCTGCAACATCCTGGCTAACCAGAGGTCCCGAGTGTGTACACATGACAACTTCACTGCTAGTATAACCAGCATTTGAGAAAGCTAGCAAGCTAAACATATCTAAAACCAAGGACTCTCACAGAATCTTCTTCCTTCCCCTGCCACCTCCACCAGAGCAGATGCTGGTAGCCACAGTGGGGAGACTTGAAGACAAATCACAGGAGTCTTTGTAGACATTCCCTACCACCAGCCTGGAGCCATCTTGCCCTGCTGGGTGGTTAGACCCAAGAGAGCAATAACAATCCCTGCAGTCTAGCTCTCAAGAAGCCCCATCCTAAGGGATAGGGGAGAGCACCACGCCAAAGGATCAACCCATGGGAGCAGAGAAATCAACAGCAGGCCTTGAGTTCCAGACTGAAAAGTGTTTCCAGACTGGAAACACTGACATAATATATCCAACTTAGAAGAACCAGAAAAGTAATTCTGGTAATATGAAAAAAGAGGGTCCTATAACACCCCCAAAAGATCATACCAGCTCCCCAGAAATGGATCCAAACCAAGATGAAGTCTCTGAATTGCCAGATAAAGAATTCAGAAGGTTGGTTATTAAGATACTCAAGGAGACAGCAGGGAAAGGTAAAAACCGACTTTAAAAAATTCAAAAAGCAATATGGGATATGGATTAAAAATTCTCCAGAGAAATAGGTATCACAAAGAAAAAAACAATCACAACTTCTAGAAATGAAAAACACACTCAGAGAAGTACAAAATATACTGGAAAGAGCTTCAGAGCTTGAAGACAAGCCTTTTGAATTAACCAATAAGACAGAGACAAAGAAAAAAGAATTAAAAAAAGCCTCCAATAAATTTGAGATTATGTTAAATACCAAACCAAAGAATAATTGGTGTTCCTGAGGAAAAAGAGAAGTATGAAAGTGAGGAAAATTTATTTGAGGGAATGATTGAGGAAAACTTCCCTGGCCTTGATAGAGATCTAGACATCCAAACACAAGAAGCTCAAAGAACACATGGGAAATTCATCACAAAAAGATCTTCACCTACATACATAGTCATCAGGTTATCTAAAGTCAAGACAAAGGAAAGAATCTGAAGAGCTATGAGGCAAAAGCATCAGATTACCTAGAAAGGAAAACATATCAGATTAACAGCAGATTTCTCAGCAGAAACATTACAAGCCAGAAGGGACTGGGGTCCCATCTTTAGCCTCTTGAAACAAAATAATGGTCAGCCAAGAATTTTGTACTCAGAAAAACTAAGCCTCATAAGTGAAGGAGAGGTAAGGTCTTTTTCAGAAAAACAAATGCTGAGAGAATTCACCACTACCAAGCCAGCACCACAAGAAATGTTCAAAGGAGTTGTAAATACTGAACAAAACCTTGAAATACACCAAAATAGATCTTAATTAAATGATGCATTTCACATGACCTATAAAACAATAACACAATGGGAAAAAACCCAAGGTATTAAGGCAACAACCAGCATAACAAATAGAATAGTACCTCACATCTCTATACTAACTTTAAATGTAAATGGCCTAAATGCTCCACTTTAAAGATACACACCGGCAGAATGGATAAAAATCCACCTACAAGGTATCTGAGATCTTCAAGGGACTTAGCTAATGCATAAAGGTTCACATAAACATAAGGTAAAGGGGTGGTAAAAGATATTCCACACAAATGGAAACCAAATGCAAGCAGGAGTAGCTATTCTTGTATCAAACAAAACAGATTTTAAAGCAACAACAGTAAAAAATAGACAAGGAGGGACATAATAACAATAATAATAATAAAAGGATTAGTTCAACAGCAAAAAATCACAATTCCAAATATATATGCATCTAACACTGGAGCTCCCAAATTTACAAAACAATTACTACTAGACCTAATAAATGAGATAGGTGACAACACGATAATAGTGGGGAGCTTTAATACTCCATTGACAGCACTAGCCAGGTCATCAAGACAGAAAGTCAAAGAAGAAACAATGGACTCGAACTATACCCTAGAACAAATAGACTTAGACATCTACAGAACATTTTACCCAACAACTGCAGAATACACATTCTTTTGATCTGCACATGGAACATTCTCCAAGATAGGCCATATAATATGTCACCAAAAAAGCCTCAATAAACTTAAGAAAATCTAAATTATATCAAGTACTCTCTCTGAACACAGTGGAATTAAACTGGAAATTAATTCCAAAAGGAACCCTAAAACTATACATATACATAAAAATTAAATAATCTGCTCTTGAATGATCTTTGGGTCAACATTGAAATGAGGATGAATATGAAACAATTCTTTGGACTGAACAATAATAGTAACACAACTTATCAAAACCTCTGGGATACAGCAAAAACAGTGCTAAGAAAGTTCATAGGATTAAATGCCTACACAAAAAGTCTGAAAGAGCACAAGTAAACAGTCTAAGGTTACACCTCAAAAAACTAGAGAAACAAGAACAAACCAAACCCAAACCCAGCAGAAAAAAAAAGAAATAACAAATATCAAAGCAGAACTACATGAAATTCATACAAAAAAATACAAAACATAAATGAAACAAAAACCAGATTCTCTTAACAGATCCATAACATTGATAGACCATTAGTGAGATTACCAAGAAAAGAAGAGAGAATATCGAAATAAGTTCAATTAGACATGAAACAAGAAACATTACAACTGATACCACAGAAATACAAAAGATCATTCAAGGATACTGTGAACACCTACACATGCAAACTAGAAAATCTAGAGGAGATGGATAACTTCCTGGGAATATACAATTCTCCTAGGTTAAATCAGGAAGGAATAAAAACACTGAACAGATAGAGGATGAATTGAAATGGCAATAAAAAAAATAGCCAATAGAAAAAGTCCAGGACCAGATGCATTCACAGCTGAATTCTATCAGACATTCAGAAAAGAATTGATACCAATCTTACTGAAACTATTCTAAAAGACAGACAGAGAACAAATTGTCCCTAAATCATACTATGAAGCCATTATCACCCTAATAGCAAAACCAGGGAAGAATATAACACAAAAAGAAAACTACGGACCATTATCTGATGAACATAGATGCAAAGATCATCAACAAAACACTAGACAACAGACGCCAACAGTATATCAAAAAGATAATCCACCATGATCAAGTGGGTTTCATACGAGGGATGCAGGGGTGGTTTAACATATGCAAATAAATAAATATGATAGATCACATAATCAGAATTGAAAACAAAAATCATATGATCATCTCAATAGAAGCAGAAAAAGCATTTAACAAAATCCAGCACGACTTTATGATTAAAACCTCAGCAATATTGGCATAGAAAAAACATACCTCAAGGTAATAAAAGCCATCTATGACAAACCCACAGCCAACATTATACTGAATAGGGAGAAGTTGAAAGAACTCCCCTGAGAACTGGAACAAGACATGGATGCCCGCTTTCATCAAGTCTATTCAACATAGTACAGAAGTTCTAGCCAGAGCAATCAGACAAGAGAAAGAAATAAAGGGCATCCAAATAGGTAAACAGGAAGTCAAATTGTCACTGTTCGCTGATGGTATGATCATATATCTAGAAAACCCAGAAGACTCATCCAAAAAACTCCTAAATCTGATGAATTAATTCTATAAACTTTCAGGATACAAAATCAATGCACACAAGTCAGCAGCACTGCTATACACCAACAGTGATGGAGCTAAGAATCAAATCAAGAACCCAACAACAGCTGCAAAATAAAATAAAATAAAATAAAATAAAATAAATAAAATAAAATAAAATACTTAGGAATAGTATTAGTCTGTTCTCATACTGCTAGTAAAGACATATACAAGACTGGGTAATTTATAAAGGAAAGAGGTTTAATTGACTCACAATTCAGCAGGCTGGGGAGGCCTCACAATCATGGCTGAGGCAAATGAGAAGGAAATTCACATCTTACATGGCAGCAGGCAAGAGACTGTGTGCAGGGAAACCGTCAGATTTCATGAGACTTATTCACCACCATGAGAACAGTATGGGAAAAACAGCCCCCCGATTCAATTATGTACACCTGGCCCCACCCTTGGCACATGGGAATTATTACAATTCAACGTGAGATTTGGGTGGGGACATAGCCAAACCATATCATTTCATCCCTGGCCCCTCCCAAATCTCATGTCTTCACATTTCAAAACCAATCATGCCTTCCCAACAGTTCCTCAAGGTCTTAACTCATTTCAGCATTAACTCAAAAGTCCACAGTAGAAAGTCTCATCTGAGACAACAAGGTAAGTACCTTTTACCTTATGAGCCTGTAAAATCAACAGCAAGTTAGTTACTTCCCAGATACAATAGAGTACAGGCTTTGGATAAATACACCTCTTCCAAATAGGAGAAATTGGACAAAACGAAGGGGCTACAGACCCCATGAAAGTCCAAAATCCAATAGGGGAGTCATTAAATATTAAAGTTTCTAAATGATCTCCTTTGACTCCATGTCTCACATTTAGGGCATGCTGATGCAAGAGGCGGCTCCCATGGCTTTGGCAGCTCTGCCCCTGTGGCTTTGCAGGGCACAGCCTCCCTCCTGTCTGCTTTCACAGGCTGGCATTGAGTATCTGTGGCTTTCCTAGGTACATAGTGCAAGCTGTCAGTGAATCTACCATTCTGGGGTCTGGAGAATAGTGGCCCTCTTCTCACAGCTCCATTAGGCAATACCCCAGTAGGCACTCAATGTGGGGGCTCCAACCCCACATTTCTCTTCTGTACTGCCCCAGCAGAGGTTCTCCATGAGGGCTCCACCCCTGCAGCAAATCTATGCCTGGATATCCAGGCATCTTAATACATTCTCTGAAATCCAGGCAGAGGTTCCCAAACCTAAATTCTTGACTTCTGTGTATCCACAGGCTCAACACCATGTGGAAGCTGCCAAGACTTGGAGTTTGTACCTTCTGAAGCCATAGCCTGAGCTACACTTTGGTGCTTTTTTTGCCACAGGTGGAGCAGCTGGGATGCAGGACACCAAGTCCTAGGGCTGCACACAGCAGCCCTGGGGGCTGGCCCACAAAACCTTTTTCCTCCTAGGCCTCCAGGCGTGTGATGGAAGGAACTGCCATAAAGGTCTCTGACATGCCCTGGAGACATTTTCCCCATTGTCTTGGGGATTAACATCCAGCTCCTTGTTACTTATGCAAATTTCTGCAGCAGGCTTGAATTTCTCCTCAGAAAATGGGTATTTCTTTTCTCGCTCATTGTCAGGCTGCAAATTTTCCAAACTTTTACGCTCTGCTTAATCTTAAGTGCTTAGCCACTTAGAACGTTCTTCCTCCAGATACCCTAAATCATCTCTCTCAAGTTCAAAGTTCCACAGAACTCTAGGGCAGGGAAAAAATGTGCCAGTCTCTTTGCATAGAAAGAGTGACCTTTACTCCACTTCCCACAAGTTCCTCATCTCCGTCTGAGACCACCTCAGCCTGGACTTAATTGTCCATGTCACTATCATCATTTTGGTCAAAGCCATTCAAGTCTCTAGGAAGTTCCAAACATTCTCACATTTTCCTGTCTTCTTCTGAGCCCTCCACATTGTTCCAACTTCTACCTAGTTCCAAAGTTACTTCCCCATTTCTGGGTATCTTTACAGCAGCACCCCACTACCTGTTACCAATTTACTGTACTAGTGTGTTCTCATGCTGCTAATGAAGACATACCTGAGACTGGGTAATTTATAAAGAAAAGAGATTTAATAGACTCACAGCTCAGCATGGCTGGGGAGGCCTCACAATCATGGCTGAAGGCAAATGAGGAGCAAAGTCACGTCTTACAAGGTGGTAGACAAGACAGCTTGTGCAGGGGAACTCCCATTTATAAAGCCATCAGATCTCATGAGACTTATTCACTATCACAAGAAGAATATGGGGGAAACAGCCCCCATAATTTAATTATCTCCACCTGGCCCTGCCCTTGACATGTGGAAATTACTACAATTTAAGGTGAGATTTAGGTGGAGACACAGCCAACCATATCAGGACTATACCTAACCAAAGAGGTGAAAGATTTCTACAAGGAAAACTATAAAACACTGCTGAAAGAAATCATAGATGACATAAACAAATGGAAACACATTCCATACTCATGGATGAGTAGAATCAATATTGTGAAAATGACCAAACTGCCAAAAGCAATCTACAGCTTCAATGCCATTCCCATCAAAAATACCATCATCATTCTTCACAGAACTAGAAAAAACTATCCTAAAATTCATATTGAACCAAAAAAGAACCCACATAGCCAAAACAAGACCAAGCAAAGGAACAAGTCCGGAGGTATCACATTATCCAACTTCAAATTATACTATAACACTATAGTTACCAAAACAGCATAGTACTTGTATAAGAACAGGCTTGTAGACCAATGGAACAGAATAGAGAACCCAGAAATAAAGCCAAATTCTTACAGACAACTGATCTTCAACAAAGCAAACAAAAACATAAAGTGGAGAAACAACACCCTATACAACAAATGGTGCTGGGATAATTGGCAAGCCACATGTAGAAGAATGAAACTGGATCCTCATCTCTCACCTTATGCAAAAACCAACTCAAGATGGATCAAATACTTAAATCTAAGACCTGAAAACATAAAAATTCTAGAGGATAACATTGGAAAAACTCTTCAAGACATTGGCTTAGGCAAAGATTTCATGAGCAAGAACTCAAAGCAAATGCAACAAAAACAAAGGTAAATAGATGGGACTTCATTAAATGAAAAAGCTTCTGCACAGCAATAGAAATAATCAGCACAGTAACAGACAACCCACAAAGTGGGAGAAAATATTCACTAACCATACATCTGACAAAGGACTAATATCCAGAATCTACAGGAAACTCAAACAAAGCAGCATGAAAAAAAAATAATACCATCAAAAGTGGGCAAGGGACATGAACAGATAATTCTCAAAAGAAGCTATACAAATGGCCAACAAACATATTAAAAAATGCTCAAATTCATTAATGATCAGGGAAATGCAAATCAAAACCACAATGCGATACCACCTTACTCCTGCAAGAATAGCCATAATTTAAAAATCAAAAAATAATAGATGTTGGGGTAGATGTGGGGAAAAGGGAGCACTTTTACATTACTGGCAGAAATGTAAACTAGTGCAACCACTGTGGAAAACAATTTTAATTCCTTAAAGAACTTAAGAGATTCCTTAAAGAAATTCCTTAAAGAACTAAAAGTAAAACTACCTTTTCATTCAGCAATCCTACTACAGGTAACTACCCATAAGAAAAGAAGTTATTATGTGAAAGAGACACTTGAGCACCCATGTTTATAGCAGCACAATTTGCAATTGCAAATATATGAAACTCACTGGGCATGATGGCTCACACCTATAATCCCAGCACTTTGGGAGGTCAAGGTGGGCAGATCAAGTGGTCAGGAGTTTGAGACCAGCCTGGCCAGCATGGTGAAACCCTGTCTCTACTAAAAATACAAAAATTAGCTAGGCATGGTGGTGTGCACCTGTAATCCCAGACACTTGGGAGGCTGAGGCAGGAGAATCGCTTGAACCTGCGAGGCGGAGGTTGCAGTGAGCCGAGACTGTGCCACTGCACTCCAGCCTGGGTGACAGGGTGATACTCTGTCTCAAAATAAATAAATAAATAAATAAAATATATTTTATTTATTCAATAAATAATATATATTTTATTTATTCAATAAATAATATATATTTTATTTATTCAATAAATAATATATATATAAACCAGCCTAAATTTTATATTTTTATATTTATTAAATAAACTTTATTTATTTAATAAATTATATATATGTGTGTGTGTGTGTGTGTGTGTGTGTGTGTGTGTGTGTGTGTGTGTATATATATATATATATATATATATATATATATATATATATATATAAACCAGCCTAAATGCCCATCAATCAACCAGTGCATGAAGCAAATATGGTATGTGTACACCGTGGAATACTACTCACCCACAAAAAGCAATGAAATAATGGCATTCACAGCAACCTGGATGGAGTTGGAGAATATTATTCGAAGTGATGTAACTCAGGAATGAAACACCAAATACATCCTCCCTTTCAAGTGGGGGCCAAGCTATGAAGATGCAAAGGCATAAGAGTGATATAATAGACTTTGGGGATTTGGAGGAAAGGATGAGAGGGAGGTGAGGGATAAAAGAGTACACACTGAGTACAGTGTACACTGCTCGGGTGAAAGGTGCACAAAAATCTCAGAAGTCACTACTAAAGAACTTATCCATGTAACCAAAAACCACCTGTTATCCAAAAACTCATTTCTCAAAAAGACAAATGGCAAGCAGGCACATGAAATGGTGCTCAACATCATTGGTCATCAGAGAAATGCAAACCAAAACTACAATGAGGCATTATCTTGCCCCAGTTAAAACTGCTTATATCCAACAGACAGGCAACAACAAATCCTGGCAAAAATGTGGAGAAAAGGGAAACTCTGTACACTGTTGGTGGGAATGTAAATTAGTAAGACCACTATGGAGAACAGTTTGGAGGTTCCTCAAGAAACTAAAAATTGAGCTACCATATCATCCAGCCAAATCCCATTGCTTGGTAAACACCCCACAAAAAGGAAATCAGAATATCAAAGAAATATCTGCACTCCCATGTTTGTTGCAGCACTGTTTACAATACTAAGATTTGGAAGCAACCTAAGTGTCTATCAACAGATGAATGGATTAAAAAAAATGTGGTACATGTACATAGCGGAGTACTATTCAGCCACAAAAAAAGAATGAGATCTAGTCATTTGCAACAACATGGATGGAACTAGAAATCACTAGGTTAAGTAAAATAAGCCAGGCACAGAAAGACAAACATTGGATGCTTTCACTCATTTATGGGATATAAAGCTCAGAACCTTTGAACTCGTGGACATAGAGAGTGGAAGGATGGTTACCAGAAGCTGGGAAGAGTAGTGGGAGGGTAAGGGGGATATGGGGATAGTCAATGCGTAGGAAAAAACAGAAAGTATGAATAAGGCCTAAAATTCGATAGCACAATAAGGTGACTAGAATCAATAATAGCTTAATTATACATTTTAAAATAACGTAAAGAGTGTAATTGTATTGTTTGTAACTCAAAGAATAAATGCTTGAGGGAATGGACATCCTGATCTCCATCATGTGCTTATTTCACATTGCATACCTGTATCAAAACATCTCATGCACACCATAAATATATACACCTACTATGTACCAAAAAAAATTAAAAATAAAAAAGTAAATAATAGAAAAGGAGATATGTATCAATAAATACCAAAGTAAAAATGTATATACCATATAGTGAAATATTTTATATACACATATGTGTGCAAAAAAACACAGAACTGAAACCAAACATCTCAGATCATCTAAAAGAGCAAAATACAGCATTATGCTATATATAAGAAGCACACATATTTATATACCTAAAATTTATATAATTTTAAAGGAGAGAGATTCAGGAAAATTTAAGGGTGGGCAGTGAATACAAGGAAAATGCAAATAAATAAAAGGCAATGATCACAATGTTTATATTTGAAAAGGAAGAATTCAAAACAAAAAGCATTAAAGGAGAAAAAGAATATTAAAAATGCTAAAGGTATAATTCACAATGAAAACATATTAATAATTAAAATTTCTGTTCCCAGTAACACAGCAAAACATTACATAAAGTGGAAACTGCAGAATATTCAAAGAGAATACATAAAACCATATTTAAAAGATTTTAGAAGAATTTAACACACCTCTCCTAATCCAAGAAAGATCAAGCGGACAAAAAATTGTAAGACTATAGAAAACCTAAATAACAAATCAACAAGGTCTTATATATAAAACCCTAAACTTCAATAGATAATATATCTTTTTTCAAGGGTAAACAAAACATTTATGAAAATTGCTATATCTTAGGTCACAAGAAATGGTAGATCAATACCAAAATTAGAACTAATACAGCACTCTGTGACCAAAATGTTAACACAAAAAGAGCCTTATCTCTGAAAATTAAAAGCATGGTATTAAACAACTCAAAGGAGAACTATGAAACCAAATCACAGTATTTCTTTATAATAAAATCAATGAATACACAACATCTGAACCTATGACAGGGCTAAAGCAATTACCAGAGGACCATTTATAGCATAAATACATTTATCAATAAAACTGAAAATAAACATCCAACCTAAACAGCTTAAATCAATTACCCACCCCAAAAAGAAAAAGGGGTAAGATAAAATCTGAAAATAATTTTTTAGAAAAAAATGAATATAAAAGCTATTTCTTTGAAAAAGATTAACAAACCAAACCAATGCTAACCTAATGCAAAAAAGGGTGGAGGGAAGTCAAAATAGACAAATTAGACAAAAACCACAGGAAATGACAATCAGAATAAACACAACTAAGAACAACTCTTTGCAAATAAATTTGAAAACTTAGTTTAAATGATATTTTACAGGAAAAAAATACAACTTGCCATATGTATTAACCATGTCTTTTATTTTCTATATTCTGATGCTTTGATATCTTAGGACTTGCTGACCTTGGAGGGACTGCCCCCGAGGGTTAGCCAATTCTTAGAGATAGTAAAAACACCTTGCCCATAGCGCAGCGCATCCTTTAAACACAAACCAACTATTCAGAGCCAATAACGCAACTACTTCCTTTTTTAGGTTCTCACACTCAGGGCCATTATCCACCTGCCTGATCACCTCAGTCTCAGGTACCAAATGACCAGGGACAACCTGTATGGCCTAGGGCCTGCTGAAATTATTGATAGTAGTATTAAAGAAAAATTAAAATGCAGGCCTCAGTTCAGATATACCCCAAGGCTAACTACCCATAATCATGTAGCTGAAACATAAGCCGTCCTGATTTCCCTGACACTAACTCTAATCATAAAACACAGAATGTGAACTTTTCCTTGTCAAACTGATTCAGTGAAATTAAACCAATCAGATACAGATAAGTCATCTTAAATAGCTCTGTTTACCTTAAAAAGAATGTTAATGTATAACAGCCAATCCAAAGAAAAAAAATCAAAATACTTCCTCCTTTATGCTTTATAAATTGTATTGTAACTGCTATGAGCAGAATTTCTTATCATTTGGTTTGGTATCCCCTGGATTGCAATCTGCACTTTCTCTTACCATCTGACAATAAACTTTAAAAATTTTTCTAACCTGTTTTTATTTTTGACATTGGCCAATGCTAGTGCTACAAGTCACAGTAAAAGCTCTGGCTATTATTATCCCCTCCTCCCTCTAGCTCCTGATAGACCCCAGTACTTTTCTGTTTGGCACCTCCATGCCCCTCCACTTGGGATCTATGAGTATGACAAACATACTCATAGTGGCACACACTCACAGTGGCAGTCGTCTCCTAATCTACTGACCTTGCCATATCTAAGTAACAACAAAACCTATATTTTAGAATTACACCTAAAAAGAAAATTGTAGACCAGTCTCACTGTGCCATCACTGCAAAACTATTAACCATATATGACCCAAAATTACAACAACACATAAAAATACATCATGACTAAGTAAGTTTATTCTAAGATTCCCAGGAGTCTAATACAATGCATTCTATTAAGAAATTATATAATCAACTCCAAAGACTCAGAAAAATCAAATTTTAACACCCATTCATTACGATAATACTCAATAAAATAAGAAGTGATGAACATTTTCTGAAAGTAATGAGAGCATCTTATTTAAAGGAGAAACACTAGAGATCTTCCTAATGAAATCAGAAACAAGTAAAAAAAATTCCTCCCTTCTTCATGATTTACTGAATACTTTGTTGGAGGTGTAAATCAAGAGGAAGCAAGCAGAGGCATAAGAATGAGGCCAGGCGTGATGGCTCATGCCCGTAATCCCAGCACTTTGGGAGGCCGAGGTGGGCGGATCATCTGAGGTCAGGAGTTCAGACGAGTCTGGCCAACATGGTGAAACTCCTTCTCTACTAAAAATACAAAAATTAGCCAAGTGTGGTGGCACTCACCTGTAATCCCAGCTACTTGGGAGGCTGAGGCAAGAGAATCACTTGAACCCAGAAGGCAGACGTTGCAGTGAGCTGAGATTCCGCCACTGTACATCAGCCTGGAGTGAGACTCCATCTTAGAAAAAAAAAAAAAAAAGAATGAAAAGGAAGAACTATCAATTCTTTATTTGCAGATGATATAATTACACAACTGTCAAAATCCCAAAGTTGATAGAAAATAATACAAAAATAAGAGAATTTAGAAAATAGCAAGTTATAAAATCACCATGCAAAAATACACAGCATTCATTTATACACTCACAAGTTAAAAAAAAATAATAACCAAAGAAAAAGATATCTCCATTTACAAAAGCAGAAGGCAAGGAAGAAAGTAGGGTAGAAGGAAAGTGAGAAACCAGACCAAGGCCTACATTTAGCAATAAATGTCCAAAACCTACAAAGAAAATTATAAAATATTGCTGAAAAATACAAAACCAGACTGGAACAAATAAGCATACATAACATTCTTGAATAGGAAGATCCAGCATCACAAAGGTGAAAGTTTTATTCTAATTTGATTTGTTAAAGCAAAATTAAAATGTAAACCAAACCTGATAAATTCCGAAGCAAACAAACCAATTAGACCTTAAAAATAGCCCGAAACTTGCTTAAAAAGAACACTAAACTTCTTTCAGTTTGTTGCTCCCCAATTCATGAATTGCTACCTATTCAAATAAACTTCCTTAAATTTTATTGTGACTCAGATTTTTCTTTTACAGATTTATAAAAGTAACACAATTCCAAACCTAAGCAAAACTTAACTTGGGTCATTTCTGATAAATGCTGTAAATGGTCATGCTTACATTAGACAGCAACAAAACTTAACCTCAGCTAGTCGTAAGCAGCAAACAACATATGGTTATGTGATTAAAGGCTTTCCAACAAGGTAAACAGAAAAAGGCAATTTTATGACTGGAACCAATCTGTTTATTTTGCTTCCTTATTCACCCTATGAACACTTGCCTCTGACACTTCGTTATCAGAGCACTAGATCTCTTTCAGTTTGTTGCTTCCCAATTCATGAATTGCTACTTAGTCACAAAAACTCCTTAAAATTTTATTGTGACTCAGATTTTTCTTTTACAGATATATAAATATAATAGAATTCCAATAAAAATACCATTTTTTTTTCTGCAGCTAGATAGTTGTTTCAAAGGGCAATGGAGCCAGGCATGGTGGCTCACACCTGTAATCCCAGCACTTTGAGAGGCTGAGGTAGGTGGATCACCTGAGGTCAGGAGTTAGAGACCAGCGTGGCCAACATGGCAAAACCCCTTCTCTACTAAAAATACAAAAATTAGCTAGGTGTGGTGGCGGGCACCTGTAATCCCAGCTACTCGGGAGGCTGAGGCAGGAGAATTGCTTGAACCCAGGAGGTGGAGGTTGCAGTGAGCCAAGATCATGCCACTGCACTACAGCCTGGGCAAAAGAGCAAGACTCTGTCTAAAAATAAATAAATATATAAAAATTTTAAAATAAATAAAAGGGCAATGGAAAAAAACAAAAAACGCAAGATTAGTCAGAATAGCCCTGAAAAAGAACTATGAAGGAGACCTAGCACAATTAGATAATAAAACATATTATAAAGCCTCAATAGAAGTGTGTTGATGTTTAAAAAGACACACAAGCCAGCAAAATAGAGCTGAAAATCTAGACATGGATTTAATAACTTATGGAAACTTAGAGTATAATGAGAAGTAGCCCAAAAAAATCAATGAGGAAAATGATGAACATTTAAATACAATCCATTGTGATCATTAGAGTTATAAGACAAAGTATAAAATTTGATCAATTCCTCAACTATACAATAGTATAAATCCCAGAGATTTAAAATCTTAAAAATTATATCATAAAAGTACTCAAGGAAGCATGGGTGAATAACTTATCAACTGAAGAGGGAAAAAATTCCCTATGACATAAATTAAGTAATGTAATTAAGAGACTGATAAATTCCACAGAAATATCCTCATGGCACAGAAACATTGAACAACCTAAGCCAGGTTAAAAGACAAATAATATACTGGGAAAATACATTTAAAACTTTTATATAATGCAGGTTCAGTATCCTAAATGTAGAGAAAGCTTCTAAGTGTAGCAAGAAAGGAAAAAAATGGAAAGACAGTTTACTCAAAAAGAAATTCGCATATACCGTTGGCAAGGCTATGGGCAAGCAGACACTCTCACTTATTGCTAGTAGCAATGCAAAGTATATAAATCCCCCTAGAGAGGAACCTGACACTATTAATCAAAAATACAACTTCACTTAGCCTTTCACCGAGCACCTTATTTTCAGAAATCTACCCCAAAGATACCTCGGCAAAAAACAAAAAGACTTTTTACAAAGCTATCAATGGCATTATTGTTAATAACAGCAAAAAAGTAGAAATGCCCATCAATAGCAGACTGATTTAATACACCATGAAATATTCACACAATGAAATACTACACAGATATAAAAAGGAATAAGAAATATATCTTTTCTATGTAGTGATTCCCAGTTTACATTTTATAGTTAAAAAAAAGCAAGGTAGAGAACATATGTAAATTATTCCATCATTTATCTAAGTAAAGGGCAATCCAAATATACAATATAT
This sequence comes from Homo sapiens, assembly GCF_000001405.40. NCBI lineage: Eukaryota > Metazoa > Chordata > Mammalia > Primates > Hominidae > Homo > Homo sapiens. The sequence goes on along the minus strand of NC_000002.12, from coordinate 153,075,821 downwards.
ATGCATATTTACTTAACAATGGAAGGATAGACTGCAAAATATTTTGGTGGTTACCTATAAAAGAGGGAGAAAATAAGCTGGAGGACACAAGGATAGAAGCTTGATTTTTCTGGACATATCTTGTTTTTGTACAGTTGATTTTGGAAATATGTAAATAATAAAACTAAATGAATATTATAATAAAAAACTCAATTCCTTAAAAATTGAAATAAATGAACCTAACTCTTGAATTGATAGTGTAACTATATAAAAAGGAATTATTTAGTTGCTCAATCCTAGGGAGATTTACTTTCAGGACAGAAAGAGCCACTAAAAATAAATCTGCTTCCAGTAATTATATAATTGGTCATAGTGTTGATATTATTCTAAGACAGTTATCTGAATTGTAAGAAAAATTAGTATGTGAGATACAAATGTAAATTAGATGAGGTAACAAATACTGTTTAGTCCTGTGTTTGAACTGGAACTTATCAGTACACACACAAGATGGATTTTATCTTTTTAAAAAACTTCTAACTCAACAGTCTGAATAAGCCTACACACAGTGACCAACCCAGTTGTAACTAACAATCCTATTACTGAGATACCGGTATTCTATTTTCCACTGAAAGAAACCAGGGACCTTTAGAAAGACAGCTGATTTCAGGTTTTAGCAAGAAAATGTTCAATATTAGTCTGGAAAATGTTGTCATACTAGAAGGCAATAAAGTTATCAAAACTACTAAAACGGTTCAGAAACCTACTTGATGTTCTCTTTGCCCAAAATATTTGAGCATTAATAATATTGTAGGCCAGGCACTGTGGCTCACATCTGTAATCCCAGCACTTTGGGAGGCCAAGGTGGAAAGATCACTTGATGCCAGGAGTTCCAGACCAGGCTGGGCAACAAAATTAGACCTGGTCTTTATAAAAAGTTTAAAAATTACCTGGGTACAGTGGCATGTATGTAATCTCAGCTACTCAGCCAGTTGAGGTGATAGGATCGCTGGAGCCTAGGAGTTTGGGGCTGCAGTGAGTTATGTTCGTGTCACTGCACTCTGGGTGACAGAGAAAGATCATATCTCCAAAAATAATAATCAATAATCACTATTATAACAAATTGAAACACATCAAATATAGTCATGTGTGACATAATGACATTTACGTCAATGATGGACACCATGCAAAATGATGGTCCCATAATATTATAACGAAGCTGAAAAATTCCTATCACCTAATGATGCTGTAGCCATGGTAACATTGTAGTGCAATTGCCTATTGTATTCAGTAAAGTACCATGCTGTACAGAGTTGTAGCCTAGAAGTATAGCAGGTTACACCTTCTAGGTTCGCATAAGTATACTCTGATGTTCACACAATGAAATTGCCCAGTGATTCATTTCTCAGGACATATCCCCATTGTTAAGTAACACTTTACTGGATTCAGGAGTTCATAATGATTCTTAAAAAAATGAATCTTGTTAGTCACCTTTGAAAAATGTTAGAGAAGTGATTCATTATTTTGAAAAATAGTTAACTCAAATGGTCAAAAAAATGAACTAAGTATTTATCTCAGAGTACATAAATGTATCTCAAAGTAGCACAATAGCTAATGCAGTGCTATTTCTCTTTACAGAAGTATCCTAGCAAATAAATAAGGAATGATAAATTAGAATACCACCATTTTGCAATTCTTAATAAGTTAATGGATTTAGCCAGTTATTGTCAGTGGCTGCTAACATCACAAAAGAAACAAACAGAAATTCCTAGAAGTACCTAATACCACAAACATTCCTGATAAAATATTTGAACTTGAATCTGATCAAGCCTCTACATATGACCATCAGTTTGCAAGAATATAGGGAGTAAGGAAATATGGTAAATGACACTATGAGATGAAATCAGTAAAGTCCACACTATGAGAATCTATCAAAGTAATACAACTCAGCTTCTCTTAAAAAACAAATTATAAAGGGAGGGGGGAAGATGAAGAAGCAACATGTAGATTAAAGATTTAAGCAACATGTCAGACAATTACACTGCACAGATCTTATTCAGATCCTGATTCAAAATAACCTTAAAATAAATGTGCACAACTGGAAAAATGTAATCATTAACTGAATACTTGATGATATTAAGGAATTATTGTTAACTTTTTGGACAATAAAATGGTCACTTTGTTTTAAAAAGAATGCTTATCTTTTACAAATATATAGGGAAACCTTCACAGATAAACTGATAGAATATCTGGAATTTTCTTCAAATTAAGCTGAAGTGGGTGGGATATAGATGAAACATGAGTTGACAATTATTGAATCTTGGTGGGAGAGTATGAAAAATCAGTTTATTATTCTTTCATTTTGCATTTTAACAAGTTAAAGAAGAAAAAAAAATCTACACTGTTCACCGATTTTTTATTTTCAAGTTTTTCTTTCTTTCCTCTGTTACACCATTAACTCCCAGCTGGTTTGCGTAACATGTTAGAATTAATTTTATTCCTTTTATTATTAATTTATAGTACTAGAAATAAAAATAAATAGATATTTATTTTTATTCAGAATAATCTGCTAGATGCAATGAAAACCACACAGGAGGAGCCACAACCCACTCCTTGAGAACCTGAAAATTTACTGACATAAATAAATATAGGTAAATATCTTAGGAAACTTATCCATGACCTTATTAAATAACAGTTCTCATTTTTTTGAACAGCATATTGTATTTCAAAGCGCGTAACCTACTTATGATCTGCTTCTTTAGGGCTGCTATGAAATTAAATGAGAGCATGTGTCAAAAGCACTTAGCATCGTGCCTCGAATATAAGTGCTAGACAATGGTAGCTGTGAAACCGCCAGTCCTTAATCCAGGAATCTTGTTCCTGAAACATGCTACCGCATAAAAATAAAAATTCAGGAAATGGAACGATGCTCAATAGAAGATAGTGCAAACCGTTGTGTAATTTAAACAACAAAGAATAAAAAAGGAAAACAGCAAAGAGTCCCTGGAAGAAGTAAATTCTGCAATGGAGTTTTATGCAAAGGATGAATAGTTATTACAGAAGAAGGACATCACTAATTGGGAATATTACAAGAGTCAAAGTGCAGAGACAGCCCTAGCAATGTATATTTAATGTCATTTTATGCTGAAGCAAAGGAGAATAATGAGAGGTTAAATTGGAGAGGTAGGCTGGGGCAAAAAGGAAGGGACAACATCCCTTCCAGCGATATACTTGCTGATTCAAATTAAAAGTGAAAAGGACTAAATATCATGTAAGAGATGAGAACGCAGAAAGGCATAAGGATTTATAGCTGAATATTTTAGGGAGAAGTACCGCTTCCCTATAACTCAGTTTTTCTCCAAAGAGAATCAAGCACTGAAAGCATTTGATCCGTGGCTTCTGTTTACCGATTTACTTATTTCTTCCTTTTGGAGGAAGAATGATCTGTGTAGTTGGTAAACTTAGAAATTAACTGAGAATGGTCAGGGCTCTTAGGCCCTCCTTTTTCTTGGGAGAGGCTGTCTGCAGAGGCACACCACGCTGTGCTCCTCACATGGTGAATCCTGCTCCGGTCCCACACTGCTTAGCGGTAGGTAAGAGTTATTTTGGCCCTTACACAAAGCCACGCCCTTAAACAGCCTTTAGCAGTGATAAAAATGAGGTTTGGCCTTCATCAATCACCCATTATCTTATTTATTATTTTGTTTTGGACTTAGATTGAGCAGCAGATGCTAGTTATTAGAAGAACTGAAATATTTTATTAACAATATAAACAGGAACACACTAAAGGTTCTTCAGTAAAGGAGGTAAAAATGCTTTAAATTATTCCAGCTGTTTTGTGGTGAAGGAAACAGAGACGAGCTAGTTACAGGAAACAAGGTGCAATGAATTGAACCTACTAGCTTCTGTCTTCTAAGGCAAGTGTTGGCAAACCTGTAAAGAACCAGATAGAACTATTTTAGGCTTTCTGGGCCACATATGGTCTTTGTTACATTTTTTAAAACCCATAAAAAATATAAAAACCATTCTTAGCTAGTGAGCTGTACAAAAGAAGGTGATAGGCTATAGAAAAACAAGCTGTAGGTTAGATTTGGCTCAAGAGCCACAGTTTATCCAACCTCTGTCAAGAAATAATTTCTTCAGAAAGGGGATTATGTTCTTGTGAAAATTACAAAACAAATGCCAATAAACAAACATTAGCCAATTTCTGTCGGTCAGTAAAACTTCTTAGTTAAAACCACTCTGGAGCTCTGGCCCCTGTTTAATAATAGAGTTAGTCTCTGAGATATTGCTTATAAAACCCCTTTACATAATGTCCATACATATAACCACATTGGTTATTGCTCAACATAACCAGTAATTTTGGAGGTTTGTGTGTGCAATGCTTGCCAGGAAAGCTTCACTCTTCTCCTTGTTGGCTGATTATCCTGTGCTCTGCTGCATGGCAGTTTTAGTGTACTTGCTGATTCAAATTAAAAGTGAAAAGGACTAAATATCATGTAAGAGATGAGAACACAGAAAGGCATAAACTTTATATTATTATTTGCTTCTGCCAACAATGTCTTTAGTGCAGAGAAGGCTACCTGTTTTATATCAAGCTGGATATAAAATATTTAATTCCTTGTGTTTTTACTCACATAAATTTTAAAGTAGTCTCTCTTCTTGCACAACTATAGTTACTGCATTTGTAATAAGTTTTGGATACCAGAAAATGAAATAAATACATCCCAGGGAAGAAATTGTTTTTTCTTCAACTGTAGTTTTTCTAAAGGACTTGAGCCCTGCAAAATTGGATGTTTAACTGTGGTTATTTATGATTTATGAGTGTTAAAATGCCTATAGGCTAAATAAAAAAATAATAATTTCAGTGTTTTTATTCTTGTGTCAGTCTCATAAGTCATATTTGAAGAAATTGAATTTCACATTGCCTTTAAGATTCACCCTTGAGCTAAGACCAAGATTAGTGATATTTCAGATTAAAGAAAAGGAAATTGTTCAGAAAGTTCAGGGGAACTAACAAAGGCGATTCCAAACACAGAGGTTTTTTATAAACGTAATAAATATATACAGAGTCATATGTGTGCAGCTTGTCTCTCCAAAGAATACAAAGCCTGTTGCAGAGAAGAGCTCCTTAGTACTTCCGGTGTCTCCATATGTACTGCAGGGCACAAGGAACACTAGTTTTGTTTGATACATAATTAATAGACTTTACTTTTTGGAGCAATTTTGGACTTACAGAAAAATCGAGGAGAAAGTATACAGAATTCCTATATACCTTCTCTCCTCCTCCAAAAACAATTTCCCCTATTATTAGCATCTTGCATTTGTGTGGTACATTTGCCACAACTGATGAACCAAAGTTGATTTATTATTGACCAAAATCCATATTTTACATTAGGTTTCACCCTGTGTTGTAGAGTTCTATGGTTTTTGAAAAATGCATAATGTGTCCACCATTATAGTATCATATGGAATAGTTTCAGAGCCCTAAAAATGCCTGATGCTCTACTTAATTCATCCCACCCACTCTCCCCATGAGCACCTGGCAACCACCAATCAATCATTTTCCTATCTCTATAGCTCTGCCTTTTCCAAATGCCATATGGCTGGAATCTTATAGTACGTAGCCTTTTCAGATTGGCACATTTTACTTAGCAATATTTAAGGTTTCTCCATGTCTTTTCATGGCTTGATATATTATTTCTTCTTATCACCGGCTCTTTTGTAAGAGCAGAAAAACTCCCCAAACTCCTCAAGTAGTTGAAGTCTCACTAAACGGCACTTATTGAGGGATATTAAAAAATTCTGAGTGAGTAAGTGAGTTTACCAGTAAATACTTAGCTGACAAAATTGTTCACAGGCTCTTTATGCAAGAAGTTAGTATACAGCTTCCCTAGATAGAATTTTCAAATATAATGGCATTCACAAAATAATGAAAAATGGCAGAAACACAGTTAATGCACATCATCTCTCACCCCAGGTTATGATCAAGGGCCAAGCACCACCAGAGCAGAGAGACATAAAGGAGATAAATGTGCCTGCCAGTTTCAAAGTTATGTCCATTTGCAAATAGGTGAAATTCATTCAGGAAAAGAGAAAATAACCCATTTTCAATTACATCTGTGCTATTTGTAGGACATCACCTTCGTATAAAGGAGCTCCACCTTGTGCAGCTTACATCTCAGCAAATATTGCTAGAACAAGCATGGGACTATAGTCCCTGTTCAGCCATTTAATAGCTCTGTGATTCCACTGAGTCACTTTTTCTCTGTGGCATAGAGAAAATAATGCTGCTCTTCCTGATTCAAATAATTCTGAGGATCAAAGGCGATTGAGATGAATAGAGGAGATAAAGGTGATACATGGGGAAATACTTCCAAACTATTAAAAGGTTTGCTCTTGTGTTGTAATGCTGATGTTATTGGATGTACTCCAACCCTTTCATCATCCCTCTCCCACTGCAGCACTCTTCCCAGGTAAGATGGCGTGCGAGAGGACCTTACAAAAAAAGAATCTGCTTAAGTAGGGAGACAATAAGAGACCCTGTCAAGCAAAAAGTAAATAGGTATTATAGAAAGGACAACAGAAAAGTGACAAAACCTTTCTAGAAGGAAAAATGCAGCAGTAGCAATGTGTAAACCAGGGGAGAAGCTCTAGGCTTCCAAGATAAGAATGAATCTGAAAGGCAGCACACATCTCCTGGACGCTGAAGGTCAAAGAGGTAGCACCACCCAAATGTCTCCTACAGGGCATTCTTGCACAGCAATAAGAAGAAGGAGGCGTCTAAGTATTCCCTGCTGAATGCTTAAGTGTGGTTAAACCTGATTTCTTCCAAAGTGCACTGCCTTCACTGGCTGAACAGAGAGACAAGTATTGAAAGCACAACTCTCCATAAGTGGCATTGACTCAGATATCTAAGCTAGCCACACTAACTAAACCAAATCAATTTCTTTTCATTAGCTTATTCAATTGGGGAGGAGAAGGCAGGACATTACCTACAAAACAAAGGGACAACAAACTGTTCAGGCTCCCCTAAAGCACCACTGTTAGATCAAAAAGAAGCTTCATCTTTGGGGTCTATACCTATGCTACTTAAAAAGGGACAAGCAAATCAAGGGCTTAGCAAATCCAGGACAGCACTCAACAGGCACCAAGCACACCAAGGTGAAGTAATATGTAAACTTTGTTACATATCTACCATAAAAAATATATATAATTTTACTCTCATATTCATGTATAACCACACCAAATGCTGTAGGTAAATAATGACAGTCTAATAATGGCTTCTAAAGCAAAAGTAAGAGCTCTGGTCAAAATGGTATGAGTTCACACTTGGCTAAAACCATCTGTATTCCAAACATAGAAAAATGATGGATTATTAAAAACCCAAAAAGACATAGCCAGACACAAAACCTCAGTAAACATCTCTTCAGCAAAAACAGAACAAAACTGCAAAGCAATAATAATTGAAGCCTTGGCCTTACCGAGTTCTGGGTCTGAAAGCAGGCAGAAGTTCAGCCCTACCATTTAAGAGAGTGAAAAGCACTCCCTGTGAAAAGGGGAACTGTAGCCTGGCTGATTGTGTGAAGAGAGGAGTTGGAGATGCCACCTAAGCAGTCTTCAGAAAGGCAGCTAAATTAAAACTGCTACCAACTACCACCTGTGGCTCAAGTTTTCGGCAAGCTTTGAGACTAGAGAGGTAAGAGGTCACAGACAGAATCTAAAGAATAATAAATGAATGAAGCTACCCACTGGGTCACAGTGGGTCACAGAGTCTCTGAAATATCCTATAGTCATAGGACAGAAGCCCTGAAATGATCATGAAAATCTCATTCTAGGCCAGGTACCCAGGGAATAAGAAAACATGAGACAGGGTTGAGCAAAACGTCTACACAAAATTAAAATCAGACATGATATTAAAACATAGGAACAGGAAGTCACTATAAGATTAGTTTTATGAAATAGTCTGACAAAAGCTTTAAAATTAGTATAAAGACGCTCAAAAAATATGAAGAAACAACTTTCATTTAGAAAAGAGCAAGAGATTATATTATAATAGGGGAAAAAAGCAAGTAGAGGATGAAATTAAAAAGAACACAAGGCCAGGCACTGTGGCTCACGCCTGTAATCCCAGCACTTTGGGAGGCTGAGGTGGGTGGATCACCTGAAGTCAGGAGCTTTAGATTAGCCTGGCCAACATGGCGAAACCCCGACTCTACTATAAATACAAAAATAAGCCAGGCGTGGTGGTGGATGTCTGTAGTCCCAGCTACTTGGAAGGCTGAGGCCAGTGAATTGCTTAAACTTGGGAGGTGGAGGTTGCAGTGAGCCGAGATCACCCCACTGCACTCCAGCCTGGCGACAGAGTGAGACTATATCTCAAAAATTAAAAAAATTGCATTTCAAGTACCTAGCAGAAAGAGAAAAGGAAAGATACATCATAATGCAATGGCAGATTATCAAGGAAAAAGAGAACTCCTCATACAATAGTAAACCACTTGAAACTTGTGAATCTACCCTCCAACTGTGAAATTAGTGCTTCTAATGTCTTCATATGTACTGTAGGGCACAGAAGCACCTGCACAATAGAGGGAGCTCAATCTAAGATGATCTCTTTAATCCGGAGTTACATGAAGGGCACTAAATTAGTCCTAGCTTGGTTGTGCCAGGCAGAGAGAAATATGCATCCTCTGTTCAGGAAAGCATTCTCTAGTTAGGCCCCCAGGATGCTCACAGAATAATTTCAAACAAATATAAACTCGCAATTAAAGTTTACCATGCCAACAAGAAAACAAGTCACCATGAGTGTCAGCAAAAATAAGCAGCAATCCCTAGACACTTTACATATTTACTTTGTAAGAATAAAAGTTATAAAATATGTATAAAATGTCTACAAAAACAGAAGATGTCATCACAAAAATGAGCCATCACTGAGAGCAAAAGTGACCAGGTAGATTTTTTTTTTTAATCTAGTGGAACTTTTAGGAACAAGTTTCATTTTATTGTTTAAATCAAAAACACAATGGGTGGGATAAACAGCAGAATTCATGAACTAGATGATACATTTGAAGAAGTTACCCATAATGCAGCTTAGAGGTACATGTAATGGAAAATATAGAACAAAAGAAATAAACAGGGTAGAATTAGAAGTTCTAACTGAAGTTCAGATGGACACATTCAGTATCTTTACTCATACTGGACCTGAAGTCTATATCTCCTGATTCACTTGTGAACTTTTGAGAAATGTTCAACTTCAACAGTTTAAATCTCTTCTCTGCAGCCTCTCTTCCCCACCCGTCTTGTCTTTCTCAAACCAAATCAACTAATCACATTATTTGTTGCACATCGTTTACTTCTCTGTATTACCTCTTAGATAGAAAGTTGGTCCAAGAATATCTCATGGATTCATTTTATTCATAAATATTACAGCAGAATAGATCTCTCATACAAATTCCAGGAGGGAGAAAGAAAAAATAAGCAGGGAGAGAAGTAAAGTGAGAGAGAGCAGTCAATGAAAAACTACTCATAACAAAGGACAAGGAACATCATCTTAATAAGTGAAAGAAAGCACAGGCCTCTTAAAATGACTTACTCAAAAATCCAGAATAAAAACAAGAAGAGTTTAACTCTGTAAAGTTTTTAATAGGATGCTTTAAAAAAAGAAGAAAAGCCTCTATCACCAGGAGTAAAAACCCATAAGTAGAATAAACTGGGGGAGAAGACTACAAAAATATGAGTCACAAGATAGGTCAGGGGAAAGGGTGAGACAAGAAAATCTTACAGGAATACATAAAAATGTAAAGCTAAATGTAATCGAATGCAGAAAATAAAATTAGAGATGTGGAAGTCAAAATTGAGTACCTCTCTTAGAATGTGGAAGAAAAGACAAAAAGGGTAGAATAAGAGGAAAGATAATAAATACTCAGACAACAGAGATGCAACATGACTGTGAAGGAGCATTAACAATGGGAATACATGAACACACAAAACTTTCTTGGTTAGGGAAAAAAGCATGGGGTGGAGGTGGGGGTTCTTCCTTGGGGTGGGTGTGAGGGGGCCTTCCTCCATCTTCAAAGCCAGCAATGACAGACTGCATTCTTCTCTTATCACTCTGACAACTCTTCTGCCTCTGCCTTCCCCTTTTAAGAATTCTGGGGATGAGATTGGGCCCACCTGATCATACAGGCTGATCTCCCTAACTTAAGGTCACCTTATAAGCAAATTTACTTCCATCTGCAACCTAAATTGCCCTTTGTATTATAATGTAACATATTCACAGTTTCCAAGGATGAGGAAGTGGACATCTTCGTGGGGTGGGGTGAGGGTCATTATTCTGCCTACCTCAATCTCCTAATAGAGTTTGCTTAATCATGTTTCAGAATCTGCACTCATACCATTATCTGAGGTCTAATTTAGCTGATAACTCTTAAACATCTGGGCCATTCTCTGCTTAGTCCTTCAGCATCCAGCTTAAAATTATTTTCCACCATGAAGCATTTTCTGCTACCTCCTCACATCCTATCTCTCTCTTCACTAATTACCTAAATGAAATAGCCACACAACTTTTCGAACAATAATCCTTTAACTTACTGTGTCACTTTTGTAATTCTGTTCTATGTGTATTTTATCCCCAAATAAGCTTTAATGTCTATGGAAAAATATGTTTACAAAGCACTTATAGTAGTGAGTGAATTATTATAAAATAGTACAGGGTATAAAAACAATGCAAAATTGAATACACAGTATCATCTAATTATTGAAGAAGATGCAGAGAAATATGATTGGAATGTTAATAGAATTATCTCATAGTAAGGGAATTAATGTTGTTTATTTTTCTTTCTTTAAAATGCTTGGGTTTTTCATCAATGTTCTTTCTGCCTCCCATAGCCTTTCTGCCCACCTCCCAGTTCACCTGCAGCTTCAGTGGGCAGTTCCCAAACTACTGACAGATCCCAACCTTAAGGCCTGCATCTCTCAACTTCTCTGACCAGGGATTTTCTCTGGGTTCTTTAGACCTTGCTTAACCCACATGCAAAACTTCCCACGGAAAAGCCTGGGAGTTAATGATGGGAAACCCACCACCAATGAGAGACAGAGTAGGGGGATAAACATCCCAGGTTCTGTCCCCTCACATGCCTGAGGCACAGTCTGTACAGTTCCTCAGGAGGGTTCCCATTGGGACTGAGCCACAGTCACCCACAACAATGACACATTCGTTCATGCACATTTTATTGTTTTTTTTCTCTTCCATGTTTTACTTTTTCCATTTCATTACTTTTGCTTCCTGGGTCACTTTCTATATAGACCACCTGGTGTAGGCAAACAGCTCATCTGTGGCACCTGGCAACCTTGCAGGCTTGAACCATAACTTACTCAGTCTTTAAGGAATGCCTTGTGATCTGTCCAAAACATGAGAAGATGGAAGGTCTGTAAGGAGTTGATATGAGGCCACCTCCCACTCACCTCCTTGTCGACGATCACAGGACAATTTCTCATCCCCTCCCCAATTCAGGTGAGATATGGATCTTCCACTCCAGCCCCACCAGAACAGAGTTGAAGAACATAAACCTACCTGTGCCCATCTAGATGGAGTTCTAGGAGTGGTGTTGTAGTCATCTGGCCCCTTTTGCTTCAGAGAGTGGGAGACGGATCAAGGCCATGGCCTTGTGGCTCATTCATCTTTTCACTGCTACGCAAGTAATGAATGGTCTAAATCTAAGAGTGGCTCATTGGATCTTTACCATCGAACCTACTAGGCCTTGGATTTGCCTGTTTTGCATGTATGTGTTCAACATACACACTCAAGTCCTTGGCTCGGGGTCAGCATTTGGAGAAACTGAAACTAAGAAATGCATGTATCACTTTTATAATGTCATATTCTGATATTAACTAAAAAATGAGGATATAAACATAACATACTACATAAATTTGAATTTGTAAGTAGAGAGTGTATGTGAAAGTGCAAAAGCAAAGCCAAAAGGAAAAGTCCCCAAAATGTAAACAATAATTATATCAAGAAGGAGTGTCTTAGTCAGTTCAGGTTGTTCCCACCACAGATGAGGTGGCATATACACAACAGAAACTTCTCACGGTTCTAGAGGCTGGAAGTCCAGATCAGGGTTCTGACAGATTCCATGTCTGGTGAGAGTCTGCTTCCTGATTCATAGATAGTGCCTTCTCAAGGAGGTCTCACATGGTGGAAGAGGCAGGGGGTCTCCTTCCATCTTCCTTTTTAAGGGCACTAAGCTTATTCATGAGGGCTCTGCCCCAACAACCTAATTACCTCCCAAAGGCACTATCTCTTATACCATTACATTGAGGGTTAGGATGTCAACCTATGAATCTGGAGGAACATAAACATTATATCTATGACAAAGAGAGATTATCGTGACTTTTATCTCTATACTTTTCAGTTTCTAAAATTTCAATCATGAGCATCATTATTTTATAATTTTAAAAACCTATGTTTTGGAAGCAAGATTTGAAATATGCATGGCAAGAACATTTATTCTTTAAATAGAGATGTTTTTATACATGGGCATGTAAAATGTAAGCATTCAAAAATAAAGTGGACAAAGGACATAAGCTCTTCATAAAAGAAATATAGAAAGCTAACAAACATATACAAGGCAGCCCAACCTTAATCAAAGGTTAAGCATCAAAGACTCATAAATCAAAGCATCCATAATCAAACAGATACAAATTAAATTAAAACAATGAGGTACCATTGTTTGCTATTAACTTGGCAAATTAAGTGATAATAACTGATGTTAATATGGGTGCAGGAAAATAGGCACGCTCATATAGCATTGTTAGGAGTATAAACTCATCTAATTCCCTAAAGGCCTTTACAAAGCCTTATAAATGTACATTCTCTTGACATGATATCACTTAAAATAATTTTTTCTCTAGAAAAATCAGAGCTATTCACAAAAAAAGTTAGGCATAAAATTTAATTTCCGATTGCTGGAATTATGGATGATTTTCATTTCATTTTTAAACTTTTCTGTCATTTTCAAATATTTTCACTACATATGGAGAATGTTTTAAACAGGAAAATGTTACATAAATATTATTTTCTATTTTAAAAGAAAAAAACATTAACTAACAAACTCCACAAGAAAAGCACCATTCCTTTGCTTTTCCTACCTTCATTCCATTAATATGTGTGAAGATGATGCAGATAAACTGATTTGCCCCAGCAGGCCATGTGCAGGGAGAAAACAGAAAGAACTATTTGTTTCTCTGCCTTGACATGAATACAACATGGCTTTTCACTAAAGTTGGAAGATGGAATGATTTGGCAGCAGAAATGAACTGAAGGCAATTTATATCTCTCTGGGTCTGAATACCCAGGTAACATTTCAAATGTCACCTGTAGGTTTTTTCTGCATTAACAACCCCTTATTTACATCTCTAAAACACACAGTGCAAATAGCCAATTGCTACAAAAAGATATTAATACATGCTTCACTCTTTACACAGTGAACATTAAAAGATATTAATACATGCTTCACCCTTTACACAGTAAATGTTAATGTTGAAGCTATGATGAGGAGAAAATATTTTGCCAATTACTATGGGAAATAGACACGCTAATGTTTCATTCTTCACACAGTGGATGTTAACACTGAAGCTATAATGAAGATAAAAAAAGTTTTCTAATCAGAATCGGATAGTTTTAGCTTTAAGAGCTAGAACATTTTAACGTCAATTTCCTTCATTTGATAGATTGGGCCTTTCTTGTTTATACTAACACAGTACATAGATATTTTGAATTAATGCTAAGATACTCAGCTCCTGGAGCCTGAAGGTAGTTTCTTGCATTTGCCAATAAGAAAAAAAATAATCTAGCAGTGTCTTAGTAAAATCAGCAATTTCTCATACTTTAAAATGCCATATTTTGTCAAATCTAAGATGCTGTAACTTGTTGAGATGCACAATTATTTTAGGTACTGTAGGAAAACATTGCAAAGTAAAATAAACTATGAGAAACTGTGTACCGAAATCATAAAATGCATCTGAATTTCAGAGATGTTCACATAGAGGGAAGGGAGGACATCTGAGAATCAAAGAATGATAATGCATCATTTACGTGTTTCAACAATGGACTGCAGGCAGTTCTCCTTCATTTAGTTAATTTTCTGCTTTCTGATTTCTGAAAGGAACTGACAGATTTATAAACATATTCAAAGCTTAACCACTCAAAGCCTTGTCTGAAATCCATACTACAGTACATCGCGCACAATTGGCAATGTGCTGGAGCCACATTTAGACCTGGATGAGCAAGGAGGTTGTTAAATTGTCAAGAATCTTGTGAGCTGGTTGTTACAGCCACTATTACAAATTAAATTATATTAACTTGAAATGAAATACGTCTTATCAAAAACAAAGGTAATAAATACTCAAAAAGCATCACCTAATTATGTTGCTGCATTTTACTATTACGTATGCTGTTGACATTATGCCTATTGTATCTGTACAGCAGAAATACTATATAATGGTGAGTTCCTGCACATCTCTTTCCAATTCTGCATTCAGTGATGTCACTTTGATAATCTGAAATCAGCCCTGGTGGAAATATTTACACCATGGAAATTGGCATATATTGCAAATCATGGCTTCTGCCTCCAGAAATTCTGTTGTTACGTATTTACCAGCACAGCACTGCCTACAGTAACAAAAAACTGTAAAAAGGTTGATTCTAAAATTGATACACTAGGTATACATTACACATAAATTTATATGCATACAGATGAAGGTAGTAGATCACAGTAAAAATAAGTGGCAGGAAACAAACATAAAAATCTGAAATCTAAACATTGCCCTTAAAAGAAATAGAAAAGCTTTAAGAAATGATAAGATTTATATTATTCAAATTATTCAGGGGGGACAAAAAGGTTACTTCAGTTTTCAGTGTTCCAATTTCAATACTCAAATGCCTAAATAACCTTCTCACCTTGACTACTTAATAAAATGCAGAAGGCTACGCACTATAATCTTTTACCATATGGAAGCTCTGATTCAAGTGAGTTACATTTTATCCACAGTTTCCCATTAAATAAGAGACAATATTACTTTCATTTTTCAATGACAACAACCTGGCATGAATTTGACTATATAATGTTGTTCTCAGAATGACCTACCTTATCTACAAACCAGTGAAATCCAACTGGGTCAAATAACATTTAGATGCTAACTAAATACTGATGACTGAAGCAACAATCTTAAAATCTTTCATCATTTTGTGAAGAATGGTATTAAGTGATTTCTGTATAAAATAGTCAAAGAATACTATGATCTCATAAAATTTCAAAGACTGCAGTTCACTGTCCTTTGCCTCATATCTGAGCACTTGGGTAACCTGAGGAGATTTATTTATGAGAATTCATGTAAATCCCATTAGGCTCTTCTTAATACCCAGTGGCACTTTAGAGCTAATATATTTTATTTGCATTTACATAATACAACTTGATAGTCTCATATTGCATAATCTCATTTCACTCAGTTCATTTCATAAGGAAAACATATTGCTTGCAGTTTTTCCACAAAAGAGACCCTATGTGAACTATACCTAAATAACTTGCAGAGTACTGGTTGCCATGGCTGTACAGAAAAAGTAAGACACTATTGCTAATAGGAATGTTGGAAAAACTGATTTCCAACCTGGATTTATGATGCTAGTTTTTTGATTATATATTTAATGAAGCCAATTCAGCATCCAACTCTTACCCAAGAAACTAGGGGAAAATACTCCTTTTTATAATTTTTAAAAAAATAATATGTAAACATTTATAACCAAACTAAAAAAGATAAATTTATCAATACTATCAATATTATCTGTGTTTGACTCTTAGTTTCCTTGTCTAACATTCTTTTCTCCTCCTTAATGTAACTGAAGTTTTCACTAGGGATATTTCTGACATGAGTCACTAAACAACAGGTTTCTCAGTGTGAACAAAGAGAGACAAAAGCATGACTGAGCATGTTTCCTTTGGGAATGTCAACAAGCCCGTCATTGCTTAGACAAAGCTTCACTGAGGAGTTTGGAGGAGAGAATGACAGGTGATAAACTTAGAAAGCTATATTGGGACATCATCGCAAAAGAGCCCAGTGCATGTCGTGACACAAAGTTTGGTGTTCCATTGTAATGTAACCAACAGTCACCACCTGTTATTTTAAAAATAGGGCACAGTTTTAAAAATACTTTGGAAGTATCAGTTTGGCAGCTGAGTAAGGACAGTTTAGGGAAAGAAAGGTGCTGAACAAGGGATATTAACTTCTCAGGACACAGCTGCAGTAGTCTAAGTGAGAGGCAGAAAAAACTTGCAGTGTAAAGTAGACTTCAAGAATCACTACATGGACATACTGTTTTCCATTTTAGAAGTCCAGTCATATTTGTGATAATATAGGAGCTCTGTAGCTTTACTGAAACTTGAAGAGTTTCTACAAAGAATCTGAGCCACTGGTCTTTATTTCACTTCCTCCCCTAGAAATTCCTCCCCTAGAAATTCCTCCCCCAACACACCCCTGCAGAATAGAGATTCTAGTACTCCCCATCCTTCTCCCATCACAAATAACTGATTTTTTAGGAAGCAGCTCAGTCCAGATAGTCTGCCCTTTCCAGGCCCTGGAATTCTGAAGAATAACATTTTCTCCCTCTTATTATACATACATAGGCATACAATGGAGATACTGTGGATTCAGCTCTAGACCACCAAAGGAAAATGAATATAATAATAAAATGAGTCACATGATTTTTTCTTGCTTCTTAATGCATATACAAATATATGTTTACACTATAGTGTAGTCTATTAAGTGTGCAATAGCATTACTTTTTTTTAAGTGTACTACATTAACTAAAAAATACTTCATTTGGAAAATGATGGATAGGAGACAGGATTAGCATGCAGCTCCCACCTGAACAGAGAGAACAGTGTGTGAAGACTCACATTGTGAACTTTTGCTCCAAGAACCACCACGGTAATATACCAGAAAAACAGGAAAGAATTCACAGACCCTTTGAAAGAAGTGGCTTGCAGCTGCAGCCTCTGCAAGATAACCAAAAAACTGTGAGTTCCCAAAGTGTGAGGTGGGGTATGTCTGCCTCCAAACACACACACCCACTGAGAACCCTGAAAATTCAGATCACAGGATAAGATTTGAGCTGACCTAAAGTTGAAACAGATTTAGGGAGCTGAAGGAAATGCAGGAACGAAATGTGCCCTGAGAAGTTAGTATCCCTTGTTCAGCACCTTTCTTTCCCTAAACTGTCCTTACTCAGCTGCCAAACTGAAGAAGTAGAAGCAGCAGCAGCAGGAAGAGCTCCATAGTCATTGCCGGTCCCCAGCTCAAGCCCAGTAAAGCCATTCCTGTTTTTTTGTTTGTTTGTTTTGTTTTGTTTTTGAGACAGAGTCTTGCTCTGTCGCCCAGGCTGGAGTGCAGTGGCGCAATCTCGGCTCACTGCAAGAGTGAGCAACCTCTGCCTCCCAGGTTCACGCCATTCTCCTGCCTCAGCCTCCCGAGTAGGTGGGACTACAGGCGCCCGCCACCACGCCCGGCTAATTTTTTTGACTTTAGTAGAGACGGGGTTTCAACGTGTTAGCCAGGATGGTCTCAATCTCCTGACCTCGTGATCCACCCGCCTCGGCCTCCCAAAGTACTGGGATTACAGGCATGAGCCACCACACCTGGCCGCCATTCCTGGTTTTTATCTCACAGGGTCTTTGGGGATGGGAAGACAGCCAGCCTTGGGGTGGGGCTACAGGGTGAACAAGATTCCAGCTGAACTTCGTAATAATTTCAACTGAGCATAAATTTTGCTGAGCAGAATCTGGAGGCAGGAAAATAGGAAGTACAGATATGAGTGTAGAAGCTGCAGCCAATGGTGCATGCAGGTGGGGAGTGGCCAGGTCTGAGAGTCCTGCTTGTTTTGTCAGCTGGGGGGCTTGTAGACTTGGGGAAGAGCTCAGCCTTGCTCATCAGCTGCCTGGACATAAACTCAGTGCTGTTGGTAGTGGGGAGGGAGGGCATGGGGGAGTGAAAATGACCTTGCTGGCTATGTGAGAACTGGGTAAGGCCTGTCACTGCTAGCTTCCCCCACTTCCCTGATGACATGTATGATGCAGCAGAGCCAGCCATAGTCCCACTGGAAACATAACTCCATTGGCCTGAGAACCATGCTCTTAACCCCCACAACAGCAACAGCGAGGCCTGCCTAAGGAGAGTCTGAACTCAGACCCACCCAAACCTGCCCTCACCTGATGGGCTTTCTCTACTTGCCCTGGTATCTGAAGACAAAAGACATAAACAATAACGAGCATGATGAATGGAACAGTTCCTCATATCTCAATACTAACAATGAATGTAAATGGCCTAAATGCCCCACTTAAAGATACAGATGGCAGAATGGATAAAAATCCACCAACTAAGTATGTGCTGTCTTCAAGAGATTCACCTAACACATAAGAACTCATGTAAACTTAAGGTAAAGGAGTGGAAAGAGATATTCCATACAAATGGACACCAAAAGTGAGCAGGAGTCACTTTTCTTATATCAGACAAAACAGACTTTAAAGCAACAACAGTTAAAAAAAAGACAGAGAGGGACATTATATAATGATAAAAGGATTAGTTCAACAGGAAAACATCACAATCCTAAATATATATGCACCTAACACTGGAGCTCCCAAGTTTATAAAACAATTACTACTAGACCTAAGAGCTGAGATAGACAGCAGTACAATAATAGTGGGGGATGTCAATACTTCACTGACAGCACAAGATAGGAGAATGTCCAATAGGTAGGACAATCAGAACACATACAACAGTTGTCACGTTTTTCATCTTATATGTGTGCAGTTTGTGGTGTCCCAAAACAATTACAAGAGTAACATCAAAGTTCACTGATCCTAGCTCACCATAACAAATATAATAATAAAAATTTTGAAATATTTCAAGAATTATCAAAATGTGAAACAGACGCAAAGTCAGCTCATGCTGCTGAAAAAAATGATGCCAGCAGACTTGCTTAATGCAGGGTTGTTACACACCTTCAATTTGTTAAAAAAAAATATCTGTGAGGTGCACGAAAGTGAAGCACAATAAAATGAGATATGCTTCTACCTATATGTCTACTCTTTGCATATAATTAATAAAAGTATGTTTTAAACTTTTTCTTTAGTTTCTGGCAAATTTTGCTGCCTTACAATTGTATAGATTTTTTTTTAAATATAAACTTCATTTGCATAAATATGATGCTACATCTTTGGCATCCTGAGAATTTTTTTTTTATGTTTTGCTTGGCCAGGGAAGGGGGATCTTGTTGTGGAAAAGTTTTTCAGATTTATGTTCTGATTATTTTTCTTAAGAATTATATCTGAAATAATGAAGACATACTAATTCAAAGGAGAAGAATAGGGTTTTTACAAGATGAAATCAGATTTCCTTCTAATTCTTTATTGGGACTAGATATTGGAGCTAGAAAGAAAAAGAATGTAATAATTCATAATACATTAATAATGTAATAATAGTCAAAATCTTATTTGAGTAAGTGATCTTTAAAGGAATGGTTTCCAACCTTGTTTACATCTCTCACATCAAAGCAATACCACATTCTATCATCGGCAGTAACAGTAGCTCATTATTGCAATAATTCTTATGTGAGAAGGGGAATTCAGATTTGGTTGGGGTGGTTCACAGCACAACAAAGGGGTAGGAGAGGAAATGAACGAATGTATGCATTTTGAAAGAGCTTCCAGGTGAAGCTGACATAAATTTCCACCCTTCTCCCTTCCCACTCCATCCCTACCATAATTGCACACTTCCTTCCCCAGACTTAATGTCTGCTTAAAGTCTGGATCACCAGAAGTTGATTTGAGACCTGGGGGCTTCCAACAGAACTGAGTTCAGTTGGAGCAGTGGAACCTATATTTATATTCTGACTGTACTCCTCTGAAATGAACTGAATTATTTGTTTCTTGATTTAAGGCAAACTGTAGACCAAAGCTGAATCCAGCCACAGTCGTTTTAAGCCTACACAGTGATTTCTTTTTAAATGTGTGTTTAGTTGCCCTTAGGTAGAACATAGATTTTTCCAGTTTTCTATAATTGCCTGTACTCTTTCTCAAACCAGGTTTCATCCACTTGTGTGTTTTCTAACTGGCCCCTAGAGGGATTTACTTTGTGACTTCTTAGTTAAGACAGGAGACTTTGTTAAGATGTAAGATGTCTTACTTTAAAAAGCAAGGATTTTCTAATTATAAGTATGTGACAAGGAATACATGAACAGAGGGAAAGGTTTCTCAGCACAAGTGTTATTATTCCATTTTATTATCTTTTGCCCAAAGATCTTGCTCCTACCAGGTCCTCAATGAGCTCAAGAAACTATAGAGTGAGTCTGGGTCATCTGGATAATTGA
This sequence comes from Homo sapiens, assembly GCF_000001405.40. Classification (NCBI taxonomy): domain Eukaryota; kingdom Metazoa; phylum Chordata; class Mammalia; order Primates; family Hominidae; genus Homo; species Homo sapiens. Next base: position 153,055,426 of record NC_000002.12, on the reverse strand, counting down.
TGTAAATAAACAAAAGGCCTTTGTTTGGGACCCCACGGGCTGCCTGAGGTTTGGGATCAAATGAAACTTTGCCATCAGCCTGTGCCTCTGTCACTTTCTTGTCATTACTGGTTAAGTCACACTGCTCCCACTGGTATGTCAACATAACAACCTCCCTTGACAAGTAAATCAAGAATTCTCTTCCCAATTGCCTTATTATTGTCCTAGGTCAATATCTCTGGAGGCTTAAGAAACTTGTTTCTAGGTCTCACCTTGATTTTGTTTAAGTTACAGGCCAAAAAATAAAATGATTTAATATTATAGAAAATCAACAGTCTAATTTTTTGGCAGAATTTGACTCCATTTCTGCCAAGGTACAACTATCCTCGAGAGTAACTGATGAGACAAGGAAAGAACATAAATGCATGAGGAGAAAGGAGTGATTAACATGATATAGAAGTCTAGGGACTACAGCACAAGTTAATCTAGCTCAGGCCCTTATTTCAATGCTGGCAAAATGTTACCACTCTAATAATACCTTCAATGTGCATAAAATAGAGTACATCTCTATGATTTGAAAGAATCTTAAACATTATCCACTCTTTCCTGAAGAAGTACTCATTACCCTGTGATAGCCTTGAGTTGGCAAAGCTGATATTCCAAGAGTTGATTTACAAACATGCATTTCCCTTACAATTCAGGAAGCTACGATTAGGTGAGCCATATTGCACTGATTATGTCAAATGGTTCAAAAAGTTCATGCACAGTTACAAAAGGCAAGATATTAGCATTCCTTTCTACTCAATTTTGATTTTCAGATGAGCTCTTTTGTACATATTATTATGGTGTAAATTTCTCTTTTACTATAAAACTATAGGTTTTAATCTGTGAAATCAATTTAGGTCACATCAGAAGCTTTTAATGAAAGAATAAAATAAGAGAATAAAACATAAGCCAGCATCACAAATATTGTTTTATGAACATTTTTTGTGTCTAGGGCCACAGTGTAAAATGTCTTTCTTAGTAGGTCATGGGTCAAAATTTTTGAAAAACAGGAATTCAGGAGCATTTCCCTTCATAACGTGCTGTCTCCCTGGGCTCCACTCCTGAACTAAGGCTTCGGTTGCCTCTGAGCCCGAATACACAAACTGATCTGGGATTTTAACTTCCATCTGCTTCCTTCCAGCCAGAAGGAGCAGAATCCAGGTTCACTTATCAAAAGACATACTTAGAGCTCTTTTCTGTCCTTCTCTCAGACTCCCTTTCTCCCAGTTCTTGAGATTTTTATCTGATTTAGGATAAATCTGATTTAGGACAGAAAACTGTCTTTGGCAGTATTTGGTTATACCTATTGCTCATGGCATAACTCCATGCACCAAGTACTTCAGTGCTCTGACTTTTTAAGTCATTCATTACAAATGCCCAAGTTCTTCAAACTTAAAAAAATTTTTTCTGCCAAAAGTATTGCCTTTCCCTAAAGTAATGGATACCCGAATCTGTGTTTTAGCCCAAATAGGAAAAAGGCTGCGGGGTAAAGAGAAATTATCAGACATGAATAACATTTCAATTAAAGTTCCAACGCTATCCTTAATTATTAAATTTAAAAGAATAATAAGTGAATGTAAAATTCAAAAGGGTATGTGTATATGAATGACACTTTTACACTGGTATTCACACTTACCAAATTCTGTTTAATCAAATCCTATTTTTATTCAAAACTTGAATGGAACAATTCTTTTATGTTTTTTCTAAAAACTTTACATAATGATTTTTAAAATCTCTGAGTGCATATATGACCTTTGACTTTAGATCAGTATAAACTTTTTTCAATGATCTTGAGTTTTCATTTTATGTTAAATGAACTGTGCAAATTTGACATGATGCAAAATAACATGTGGCTAAACTCTCAATTCCAGCATAAAATTTGGGGAAAAAATTGTTTAAACCTCCTAAATTGTAAAAGCTCACCAAGAATTTTATTATTTCAGAGCTGGCAGGCCAACTTCATTGTAAATGATATGTGCATAATTGCCAAACAGATGAGGATTTTATGTAAATGAAAACTTTTATGTAAACTACCCACCCACAATCTTTCTTCCGTAGCCAGTAATCGTATTTTGTTTATGTGCATCAGTATTGTGCAGGAAATATTTGTGCTATTTTCATTCACTCTTACCATACTTTAATTTTTCCTTATATATAATACGCTGTATATTATTGATCAAGTAATGGGGCTAGTGTTAGTGCAGGAATATGCCAAAATCAATAATGATGGGGGAAAGTCAGATATGATAAAAGACCATGAAGGAGGCCAGTCAATTGTCATGGCACCCTGTAATGGTAAAAACAAGCTAGATTTATTCAGGCTTGTGGAAAATTTAGTCCATAAGAGTTTTGAATTATGGGTGGCCTTCAGAAAAACATTCCTTGCATAAAATGTAAATGCTAGTCCTTGAACTACTTATAACTGTGGCAATAAGTACTTCAGAGTTGGGAATTATTCTGATGACTGTTATTTTCCTCAAACTACTATCAAAATGATTCAAATCAGCACGCCTTTGGCTCCATTCTTTTCAAAATTTTTTCCGCCAACATGATTTATCAGGAGTTAGGAAAGTGATTGCAGCTATTTAATGCGTCCATATATTGTTTCTGAGATGCCTGTGACCTTTTTCTTGTATCATTTAGAAAGAGGATGCCTAACAGCTTTGTGAAGTTGCTTTTCCCACTTGAAAATGTATTAACCACCTGTCAGTCACTGCCTTATTTTCTTTACAAATACTTATTGTTAGAGAGTCTTTACCAGACTTTATAAGTTAGACATTTCTATCAATCAAGGTCAAACTAGGAAAACAGAAACCTTTCTAAGCATTTAAAACAAAGACAATTTAACATAGGGATGAAGATCTGGGAGAGAAATCAGGGAGGCAGCACAGAGGTTAGAAACAGGAGAAATGGTGACCACCCTAGAGCTAGAGGGAACAGAGTGAGGAGTGGATTATGGAAACCAAGGGTCTGCACTGGCAGAGCGGGACTCAGGACATGGTTGCCAAAGGGTTATGGGGTCATAGAGAAGAAACAAGTCGTGCCAGAGATGCGACTAAGGCAGAGAAAGAGGGGAAGAAATAGCCTGACATCTCCCTTCCTCCAGCGCACCAATCTCCAGCCAAGGTTTCCCACTGGCCTAGCCCAAGACAGAACCCAGAAAGCACATCCTGTAGGGGTAGCTCCCCCACCAAACCAAGCATAGCAGGAGAAGAAAGGGCCCAGATCAAATCTTAGAGTAAGTCCAGAACAGCTCTACCTCCCCCTTCTCTTCTGATGATAAAACCATCCAGCTTCTAGTCAAAAGCTTAGCTTTGTGCCTGTGAGATAAAAAATCTGTGTTCTATCCTTTCCATGACAATCATTACATATAATCTCAGAAGAGAGCATTCTCAAAAAACTTAGAGTTGTAATCTCACCTATACCAGAATATGACTCTAAAAAATAAATATAATCTTTATATATCTTTTATAGATATATAAAGTTATTTTATCCTAAAGGACTCAGACCTAAAATGCTCTACAATGGGGCTTAAGATATCTAGTATAGAAACATAACAAATTCAGTATAATTGCTTCCTTTTTAATAAAACCCATCCACCACTTGGTCTTAAACTGCAGCAGGGGCAATGAGCATAATAAATCTCAATCACATTAACCTTTTTAGTCAGTCATACATAGGTGACTTTGGTCTCAAAATCTCTGAGTTGATTTCTATAAGGTTTATAGATGTAATTCTTAAAGAGCATAAGATAATAGAAACTCAGTCTCTGCTTTCAAATGATCAATATTTTAATTAAATATATTTTTCTTACTTTTCCTCTATGCCATTAATATAACCACACCTGCTGGAATTCAAGGAGCATGTAAATGACTTTCCCTAACTAATTGACAATCTCAGCAAATGTACAAATGCAATTTTATGTACAAAATCCATTTCCCTAATCTTAGCAAACTATAAGTTAAGAAATGAGGCTGTGACAAGCTTATTGATTCCTTGCCAACAATTTTCTCTAGCTGTCAACTTTTTATTTTTCAGGGTGTTCTTTTCTTCTCCTTAATTCAGTTTATATTCAAGGCTTAATGTTTCAGGGACTCTCCCTCATTCTCCTTTAGCTCACCAACCAGAAAAACACCAACTCTGGGTGAACCCAAATGTCCGCCTTCTCAGGACACGCACTTGGGAAATTGAATTTTGTTATACAAAATCACTAAAATGGATAGGTTTGTGTCATAATAAATTTGAGATTGTCAACCTCATCTGAAAGCTCAGCACTATCCCCATATACTATTGTAACACCCTCACTACTTAAATATCCTCTGTCCTCAGACATGCTGCTTTGTTGCCTCCACACCTGCTCTCAATAGATGACCTTTCCTTCAATTTCAGGAAACTAAGAAAAGCCAGATAGGATGAAGCCCCTCAGTGGCTTTTCTTCTCTCCTACCTCTCGTTACTGCAGGTTTTAGGCCAATGATTCTCAGACTAGTTTCCAAACTGGCAACATCAAGGGACTTGTCAGAAATTGAAATCCTCCAGCTCCTCCTCAGGCCTTCCAACTCAGAAACTCTGGAAGTGGGACACAATGATCTGTAGTTTCAAATGCCCTCCAGGTGATTCTGATGCATGCTCAAATTTGAGAACAATGATCTTAAGCTAATCCTTCTGTCTTTGCTGCAGATCCTGCCCAAGACCACACTCTCACGGCTTTAGAGCAATGGCACCATCATTAACACCCTCAGCCACCACTTTATTTAACACCTATGTCAACACCTTCCCTAACTCACCCTTCTATGTCAGACTTGTTCTACAAACAATTCTCCACCCTGTGGCCAGTATAGTTCTTTTGGAGCATAAATTTGTTAGTGTCATTTTATTTCCTAAAACCTGTCAAAGTATCCCATCTCTCAATTGTCTTATAACACCTTTCAGGATATAGTGTCTGTCTCCCCAGCTTCATCCTGCATGGTCCATCTCCTTGGGATTTTAATACTTCAGGTATCCTGAAATTCTTTCTGTGCCTTTAAGACCAGGCTCTTCCTAAACTCTGGCCCTTTGTGGATGTTGATACCTCATCTTAGAACACTCTTCCTCCCAAGGGTTTCTTCTGGATAAGTCTATTTGTCCCTTGTGTCTCAGGCCAGAGCACACTTCATCAAGGAGCCTTGGCTTGGCCTTTAGACTAGATGGAATTTCACTTTTATATGCTTTCTTAGCTCCATGTTCATCTCTTATCATAATTTTTCACTTTTTTCCAATGCCTGTTGCCTACATTAGACTGAAAGCTATCTGGGGGCAGTGACCATGTCCACCTCATTCACCACTATATACTCTATCCCTAACATAACACCTATGTCAGACCTAAGACAGGTGCTCAATAAATATCTGCTGAACAAATTAATAAATATCAAAATGTATGTTGTGGTTTTGTTCCTCATTTTCTCTTCTTTTAAAAATATTCCTTCAGTTAAATCCTTCTTCTTTTTTTCCTCAACAACTCCTTCCATTATTCTTTTATTATAAAAATACCTAAATCTGTGGTTCCCAGTCCATGTGCCGAGGGGCCCCAGGGTACCTTAGCAGATTCACAGGGACAGCATGAGATATTTTCAATTTTCAAGAGAAGCATAGCAACATCTGTCAGATATCATGCAAACTACTAGCTGGAGGAAGTTCAGAGTTTCAACATTAGATAACTACATTCTTTTTTAAAATGTCATATCTTTCTCAAGCTGGGTTTTCCGCAGTGGCTATGATAAAAAGGAAGTATCACGTGGAAATCAATATGGTACAGAAAGCTGTAGAGGTAGGGCAGAGGTGTCCAATTTGATTTAAAATTTGAAAAGATGTGCAGTGCCCAATAAGCACTAAGTTATGTTAAATAACAAATTCTTATGTTATTTGGACCTAATTACTTAAGAAGCAAGACTGTTAATTTTTTCTTTGGGCCTAGAAGCAGGAAAAAATTACTGAGACACTAAAGGAACTGGGAAAGTCTGGGAAACTCTGTCCTTGCCAAATGTTAATTTTTCTTTTCTTTTTTATTTTCCTTAGATTTATTTGATAGCCCATATAGGGTTTGAACCCACGACAAAATTAATTTATCTATTTATTTTTATCTCCTTTATATTATTAAGTTTTTTAAATAATTTCAACTTTTATTTTAGATTCGGGGGTACATGTAGAGGTTTGTTACATGAGTGTATTGCATGATGCTGATGTTTGATGTATGAATGATCCCATTACCAAGGTACTGAGCATAGTACCTAATAGGTAGTTCCTCAGTCTTTTCCACCCTCTTTTTCTCCCCTCTCTAGTAGTCCTCAGTGTCTATTGTTCCCATCTTTATGTCCATATGTACCCCATGTTTAGTTTCTACTTATGTGAGAGCATGTGGTATTTGGCTTTCTGTTCCTGTGTGAAATCACTTGGAAGTTTCCCGAGGATAATGGCCTCCAGCTGCATCCATGTTGCCAAAAAGGACATAATTTCATTCTTTTTTATAGCTGAATAGTACTCCATGGTGTATATGTACTACATTTTCTTTATTCAATCCACCACTGATTGAATAAAGGGAACCTAGGTTGATTTTTTGGAAGCATCTATTATGTCTTTTGCCTGCTTTTTAATGGGGTTATTTACTTTTTGCTTAAGTTCCTTATAGATTATAATATTAGACCTTTGTCAGATGCATGGTTTGTGAATATTTTTTCCCATTCTGTAGGTTGTCTGTTTACTCTGCTAATTTCTTTTGCTGTGCAGAAGCTCTTTTGTCTAATTAGGTCCAATTTGTCCATTTCTTTTTTGTTGCAATTGCTTTTGAAGACTTAGCCATAAATTCTTTCCCAAGGCCAATGTCGAGAATGATATTTCCTAGCTTTCCCTTGTAGGATTCTTATAGTTTGAGGTCTTACATTTAAAACTTTAGTTCATCTTGAGTTAATTTATATATATGATGAAAGGTAGGGGTCCAGTTTCATTCTTCTGCATATGGCTAGCCAGCTATCTCAGCACTATTTATTGAATGGGGATCCCTTTTCCCATTGCTTGTTTTTGTCAAATTTGCTGAAGCTCAGATGGCTGTAGGTGTGAGGCTTTATTTCTGGGTTCTGTAACATGTTCCATCTGTCTATGTGTCTGTTTTTGTACCAGTACCATGCCGTTTTGGTTACTGTAGCATTAGTTTTTCTTTTAATGTATCCCCATCTTGTTTTATTTTTGTTTATATTCCCACGCTGTTGTTGCTTATTAGGGTTTCTTTCAGTTTGTTTGGGTAAATCATGATATATCTCTTTACTTCCATTGGTTCTGATTCTTTTTGCTTGATTTCTATCATAATTTACCTCCTCTTCTGTAATGATTTCTAAATCTCCCATTATTAATTACTTATTGTAATGAAATGCTATATTGTAAAGAAAAGAAGATTGGCTTCATGAAGGTCTGTGTACAAACACATAAATACCCATTTTACATGTTTGGGTGGGTGGATGTGTGTGTGTGTGTGTGTGTGTGTGTGTGTGTAAAGCTAATTATGTACCTCATCTTCCCTCTAAATGGGAAATGTTACAGTGACTTGACCTTACACAATTGTGGGGGCCAGTTGAGCAGTCCCTGTAAGGCTGTTTTCTTCACATCTGATGCTAGAGCTTAAAGGTGGGTGTATGGTGGGAAAGAGCAAGATAAAGCTGGAACTCCCAAGTACAAAGCATACTGAAACCTGTGTCAATCCTCTTGCCCCTGGCATTAGTGATACGGATGTCCTTCAAAAGTTAGGTCCCTTCATTACACAGCTAAACACACACACACACCCCTGAAGGAGGATGCAGGACATGCTAGAACAGTTCCAGCCCAGTCAGTGCCTCACAGCAACAAGATGAGTCCACCAATAATTCAGCCACAGAATACATGAGCTACAAAACAGCTGCTGCCTTCCTTCCTCCCTCCAAATCTCACACAAGTCTCTCTCCTGTGGCCCACTAACTGGAAACATGCAGGAGAGGGAATTATGGGAAATGTAGTTTGGCTGAGTCAAGTGGACACTTTACAAAGCCTCCAGAAGCACAGCACCTCGATCCTTTACCAAAGTAGCTTACAATTATAGTTATAGGCAAAATATGTGTTCATTGAAAGACAAGTATCAGAAGTTCAGTATAGTATGAATAGTAAATGAGTGGTTTCAAAAGAAGTAGAGAGAAGTGCAGGCAGTGGTTAATAAAGTTGATATAATGGAAAGATTTCAAGTAGGTTAATAAGTGTGGGAAAGCAGCACTCCATTGAAGGAAAATGGCAAAGTCCCAGAGGCAGGAACAACCAGGCATTCTAAGACAATGGCAGATCGATCTAACCAGACCAAAGGTTCTGTGAAGTGAGGAGTGGGTAAATGAGCCTGGAAACAAAGGCTGGGGACAGACAACAGTCTCTGATGCCAAGCCCCAGCACCCGGCTTTATTCTGCAGGCAGAAAAAATGTCCTCATGATTTCTCTGACTCACTCCTATTGGTTTTGATTCTTCTCACCTGGTTTTAGATTAACATCATCTGTTAATTGTGCTGAAATGTTATATAGAAAAGAAAGTTGGTTTCGGACTTAGAAAGCCCTCAAGAAAAAAGAGATAAAAGTGTGTAGTTTTAAGTCCCGACGGAATACACTGAGAAAGTCAAGGCCAAGGGGGCGATATATACATACATACATACATATACGTGTGTGTGCATATATACACATTAATATATTACAGTAATACATTAATTTAAATATAATGTAATATTATATATAATGTAAGGCAAATGGGGCATGGTATGTAAAAAAAGTCTTTAAGATACTGAACCTGCAAAATATAACAATGCGCAAAACAGTCAGGCAAGAGGAAACTGAAGACATAGCCTTTTTCCCCCACAGCATTCCTCACAAAATAAAATTCGGGTCAGATTATAATTTGGAATCTTTGGCTATATACACCTCAAGCTTCTTCCCACATTTTATAGGACTCCAGCCTGCCCAATAAACTGATACGCCATTGTTATTCTCTCTACCCAGCAGACAGTTAAATACCTTCTATCCCCATCTTCAGGTCTACCAACTAGAAGGGATGACCCCAGTAAGATTCAAGCTGGGACAGCAGGAAGCTTGATGGTCTCCAAGTAAGTGTTTCTTAGCTCCTCTCCTGAGAAGCTTCTGGTACTAGGATAACCAGGTCCTTCTGTGGGTAATATCTTCTTCATGACCTTCTTCCTGGGCAGAAGCATCTCCAGGAAGCTGGGTTCACTAACTGCTTCTGTAGGCTACAATCAATAACTTAATTGTTTTTCAATGGACAAAACTGTACTCTCTTCCCACAGTCTTGTGCTCTGATGCTTCCAGCTGGAGAACTGCAGCAGGGACCCCCTACTAAGTTTGTTTCCATGGAAAGAGTCGTGGGATAATATCCAGGAGAACTGGATCATGATCCCTGTTCTGCAGCTCACTAACTGTGCCATGGGCTTTGTAAAATGAATTGGTTAAATTAGGTATCTCCAGGATTTCTTCCAGATTTAATTTTTTTTCAAATTTCAAGATATGCTCATTAAAATGAGATCCAAAATTTTACTTATCAAATTATTGGCAGAAATGAATATAATACTGCTGTTTGCTGTTGGCAAACCCTGTTACCCTGGAGGTGAGAGATCATTTTAGTAAGAAAAACATGGTTAGCATTTGCCATTATACAGAATAGCTTTTTAAATATACATGCTCCCAGGCATTCCTGTCCTTCACAACCAGAATTATCAGTTTCAAGGACCTATCCAGCATGTGTGTATAGATATAACTGTATCTCACAACATTGTTTACAATGATTAAAAATTTAGAAATAATACAAATATCCACAAACAAGCAACTGATTAAATTACAGTAAATCCATGCAATGCTATTGCACAAAGCAACTGCTATAGAAAAATATGTAATAAAAATGAAATGTTCTCTATATTAATATGTAAAAGGAAATAATTTTCTTATTGTTTTATTAACAACCATCCAGTATAATATCAATTTGGTTATATATAGTAAACATATTTTTCCAGATCTGACTGGCCTGTGAGTGCTAAATAAAGCTACATTGTTTTAAACAGCCAGTTGATAACATATGTGATCCCCCATTCTGCAGAAGTCCATGCTTCCATCAGGTTCTCCATTCAGGAAAATCTAGGACTCTCCAAGGAACTTTTACTTCCTCCTCAAATCCACTACTGGTATGGAGTGTTAAAGGTGGATCTGTGCCTCAGTATGACTGAATTACAGGCTCCTCCACTCTCCCAATGCAATTAAATCCAAATGCAAAATTCTATAAAAATCTGAAAAGAATAATCTTTTGAAACTCAAACCTGATAATCCCATCCCTCTACCCCTTCTTAAAACTATGGCAAATCTACACCATCTGATCTTCAACAAACCTGACAAAAACAAGCAATGGGGAAAAGATTTCCTATTCAATAAATGGTGCTAGGAAAACTGGCTAGCTATATGCAGAAAACTGAAACTGGATTCCTTCCTTACACCTTATACAAAAATTGACTCAAGATGGATTAAAGACTTAAATGTAAAACCCAAAACCATAAAAACCCTAGAAGAAAACCTAGGCAATACCATTCAGAACATAGGCATGGGCAAAGATCTCATAGTGAAAATGCCAAAAGCAATTGCAACAAAAGCCAAAATTGACAAATGGGATCTTATTAAACTACAGAGCTTCTGCACAGCGAAAGAAACTATCATCAGAGTGAACAGGCAACTTACAAAATGGGAGGAAAATTTTTGAAATCTACCCATCTGACAAAGGTCTAACATCCAGAATCTATAAGGAACTTATACAAATTTACAAGGAAAAAACAAACAACCCTATCAAAAAGTGGGCAAAGGATAGGAATAGATACTTCTCAAAAGAAGACATATATGCAGCCAACAAACATATGAAAAAAAAACTCAACATCACTAATCATTAGAGAAATGCAAATCAAAACCACAATGAGATACTTTTTCACACCAGTCAGAATGACGATTATCAAAAAGTCAAGAAACAATAGATGCTGGCAAGGCTGTGGAGAAATAGGAATGCTTTTACACTGTTGGTGGGAATGTAAATTAGTTCAACCACTGTGGAAGACAGTGTGGAAATTCCTCAAGGATCTAGAACCAGAAATACCATTTGACCCAGCAATCCCATTATGGGGTATATACCCAAAGGAATATAAATCATTCTAATATAAAGACACATGCACACGTATGTTTATTGCAGCCTATTTACAATAGCAAAGACATGGAACCAACCCAAATGCCCATCAATGATAGACTGGATAAAGAAAATGTGATACATATACACCATGTAATACTATGCTTCCATAAAAAGGAACGAGTTCATGTCCTTTGCAGGAACATGGATGAAGCTGGAAGCCATCATACTTAGCAAACTAACACAGAAACAGAAAACCAAACACCACATGTTCTCACTCATAAGTGGGAGTTGAACAATTAGAACACACGGATACAGGGAGGGGAACAATCCACACCAGGGCCTGTTGGGAGGTGGGGGGCACGGGGAGATAATCTAAATGATGGGTCAATAGGTGCAGCAAACCACCATGGCACACATATACCTATGTAACAAACCTGTACGTTCTGCACATGTATCCCAGAACTTAAAGTTAAAAAACAATCAAACAGAAAGAAGCTATAGCTTGTAATTACTCTAATGGTAAAGATAAAATTCCTTAAGAAGCCTATAAACTTATAAAGACTTGCCAGGTATGGCTCCCATATGCCTCACAAGCCTGAACACATACCATCCTCTCTCTCCATGCCAACCACATGAGTCATCTCTCAATCTTTTATATTCTTTATGCTCCCTCCTACCACAGGGCTTTTGTACTTACTGTCTAATTCTCTCTTCCAACAGTGTTCTTGTCCCACTGCTTCATCTAGCTAATTCTTTCTCCTGTGTTAGTTCTCAGCTTAATTGTCATTTTTTCAGAAAAGGATTCTTCAGGCTACCTAACTTGGCGAATTATCCAAATTCACATGGTGTCATGTGGTAACACTTGATTACAGTTGGAAATTTACATTTTAATTATGTGACTTGATTAATAAAGAGGAGCTGTGTCCACCTCTTTCTCTTCTTCCTCCTCTTCCTTCTCCTTCTTATTCTTCAACATTTCACCTATACCTAGCACATTGTCTGGCACATATTCTTGGAATGACTAAAAAAGCTATTTCAGATTTCATCCTGGTGGAGATGTGGGGTCAGAATGGCTTCCACAAATGAGAATCTCCAAGTGTACCCCTACCTTGAGCCCAAATTCTTCCCCTTTAATCCTGAGGAAAAAATAATAATAAAAAAAAAATAAGCTCTTTCTTTCACCTAGATCGAGGCCTGTTTGGTGACGATGTCCAATTATTTGGAGAAAATCCTCACCCTATCCACAACGTGTAGCCTGCACTCCAGTTCTGCTAAAAATAATCTGAATTGATATTACTAAAAAGAGGATTTAACATTTCAAATTCAAGCATCAGTGTTTGGACCAGCTCTCTAGGCTTACCTGAGAATATATCTAGTATTTAGATGTAGGAAATTGGCCCAACTCATAGAAAAGAAGTTTTCCATAAACACAAAGTTTCTATTATAGTTGGGAGAAGTTGCTTACAACTCTCCAAAATGGCACTTTCCAGCATCCACAATTTAAGATTCACCCTCCCAAGGCATTCGTCTACGTACAAAAGTACATGTATGGACACATACTATCTTACTCCATTTTCTGTTGCTATAACAGAATACCACAGACTGGGTAATTTGTGAAGAAAATAAGTTTATTTAGCTCATGTTTTTGGAGGCTGATAAGTCCAAGAGCATGGCATTGGCATCTGGTGGGGTTTTTCTTGCTATGTTATAAAATGATAGAGGGCATCACATGATGACAGAGCAACAGTGTATATGCTCAGGTCTTTCTTCCTCTTCTTTTTTTTTTGTTTTTCGTTTGTTTGTTTCTTCATTTTGAGACAAAGTTTTGCTCTTTTCGCCTAGGCTGGAGTGCAATGGCATGATCTCGGCTCACTGCAACCTCTACCTCCCAGGTTCAAGTGATTCTCCTGCCTCAGCCTCCCAAGTAGCTGCGATCACAGGTGCATGCCACCATTTCCAGCTAATTTTGTATTTTTAGTAGAGATGGGGTTTCACCACATTGGCCAGGCTGGTCTTGAACTCCTGACCTCTGGTGATCTGCCTGCCTCAGCCTCCCAAAGTGCTGGGATTACAGGCATGACCCACTGCACCCAGCCTCTTCCTCTTCTTATAAAACTACCATTTCCATCATAGGGACCCCAATCTTATGGCTTTATTTAATCCTAATTAACTTCTAAAGCTCCACCTCCAAATACCATCAAAATATGAATTTGGAGATCAAGTTTCCAGAACATGAAATTTCGGGGACACATTCAAACCATAACATATACTCACAGAAAATTGTTCCAAGGATGGCTTCTCTTCATAGTGGGTAGTTCCTAACTCTGTCTTAATCATAGCCCAAGAAATCAAACAGAATGGAGTGACAGTGGGGAGAACCTGGAGGGTGATCTTTCTTAACTGGTTTTCTCCAGTTTTCAGAGATCAGTACAGCATGCCTTCATTCCAGTTTGGCTACACAGTTGAGTGAGTTTCCCAGACTCTAGGAGAGATAAAATGACTGAGGCACCTGCTTCCCTGGCACATTCTACCATATTGACTGAATAATGGGAATGTTTAGCTTCCCTAGGGTATCTTCAGTCCATTGTAGAAAAACTAATTTAAAAACTTCTGGGTTAGTGGTAGAAACTACATTCTTAACTTTTAAAGTTTTAAGCAAAAGATAACATTTTCTTAAAGAAAGGAGAGGAAGTGGGTAACCCGAAAGGCTGTACTCTTGATGAGTAATTAAAAATCTCTCTTAACTTTGATAGTTATAGTAGGTTAGTAGAATGTTGATAGATTGAGATTAAAAAGATAACATTTTCTTAAAGAAGGGAGAGAAAGTGGGTAACCCAAGGGGCTGTACTCTGGATGAGTAATTAAAAATCTCTCTTTTTAACTGTGATAGTTATAATAGGTTACTATAATGTTGATAGATTGAGGTTATATTTTTAAAGAAAGGATCATGAGAAAAAAATTTGTGCAATAAGTTTGTATTTCAATATTAACCTTAACCATTATATTTAAAATGTTGATAATACCATAATATTACAAGTATAATGATTTAGTGAAAAACTAGATAGAATTATAAAGGATTTTACCTGGACAGTCCATAGTTGGAAGGGCCTTCTTTTTCCAAGTCCAGGATTTTTCCTTTTCCACTATGAGACAAAGTGTTTAATATATTCTAGAAAAATCTTTATTCACAAGACAAGCTATGGCCACCATGATCCCTACAAGGCAATCCATCCAGAAATGCAGCAGATATTCTTACTCACACAAAAACATCCCAATTGCCTAGGTCACTATTTGTTCTACAGGCATTTGAGAATTTGTATAAAAAATTTAAGCCTCTATCCTCAGAAAATAACTACTGTTCTTTAAGCAGAAATATTTCTAATTTTAATGAAAATTCTAAACAGTAAGAATAACGAAATTCAAACAGGTAATTGCCTAATGCAAATATAACCAAGAGAGACATTGCATAGAAAAATAATGATTTTCTAATAGAGTTTCACTGAGAGAGAAAGAATGATGAAAATGAATTCTTATATAAACTTCAAAATGCAAAGATGTGAATGCCTCTCACTGAAAATTCCTATCAGAGGAATATACTACCAGTATGTCATTAATCTATAAAATATATCCCAATAGGAACACAGAATTTAACTGGTCTTTTATAAACTATATGTACATATATTCTTCTCCATTAAAAACATTGGCAATTGCTTTAAACAATTGTATTCTCTCTCAAAAATTTTTCAGAAATTCTATGCTACCATAGTCTTAAGACTATCTTAGAAATTCATGCAGTAGCAATCATTTAGTACTTACATATATGGGTGTCAAATCTATATATAGTTTCAACTATTCCCACTCCTGTAGAATGTTCTCCTTTGCCATGTGGAATAGACAGTCAAAAATATTCTCAGATAAAAAAAAATTGACAAACCCTTAGCTAGACTAAGAAAAAAAGAGAGAATAATCAAATAACTAAAATTAGAAATGAAAGAAGGAACATTACAACTGATGTCCCAGAAATAAACAAGATTATAAGAGAGTACTATAAACTTATAACCTACCAAAACTGAGTCATGAAGAAATATAAAAAAACTGAACAGATTTATAACAACTATGGAGATGGAAAATGTAATTAAAAGCCTCCTAACCAAAATAATAATAATAATAATAATAATAAAAAGGCCAAGATGGCTTTACTAAAAAATTCCACCACACATTTAAAGAAGAATTAACATCAATCCTCATCAAACTCTTCCAAAGAATTGAAGAGGAGGAAACACTTCCAAACTTATTCTAGGAAGCCAGCATTATTACTCTGATACCAAGACCAGACAAAGACAGTATATGAAAAGAAAATTACAGACCAATATCCCTGATGTATATTGATACAAAAATTCTCAACGAACTATTAAAATACTGATATAAAAATTCTCAACAAAATACTTTTAATATGCTGCATAAACAGCATATTAAAAGGATGATACACCAAAATCAAGTGAAATTTACACCTAAAATACAAAGATGGTTCAACACAGTAAAATGAATTAACACATCACATTAACAAAATGAAGGACAAAAAATAGATAATCATCTCGACTGATGCAGAAAAAGCATTTGGCAAAATTCAACAAGCTTTCCCGATAAAAACACTCACCAAACTAGGAATAAAAGGAAACTACCTCAACACAATAAAAGATGTGTATGGAAAGCCCACAGCTAAAATCATACTCAATGGTGAAAAACTGAAAACTTTTCGTCTGACATCAGGAACAAGAAAAGGATGCCCATTTCTCATCACTTCTATTCAACATAGTACTAGAAGTTTTAGCTAGAGCAATTAGGCAAGAAAAATAAATAAAAGGAATTCAAATTAGGAAAGAAGTAAAATTATCCCTGTTTTCAGATAACATGATCTTATACAGTTGACTCTCTGTATCCATGAGGAATTGGTTTTAGGATCCCCCATGGATACCAAAATCCATAGGTGCTTATGTAAGCAGCTTATGTAAAATAGCATCGTACAGTTGGCCCTTCGTATCCACAGGGTTCAATCTGTGTTTGGTTGAATTCATGTATGCAAAACCCACAATACAGAGGGCTAACTGCATTTAGAAACCCCCAAAGATTACACATATACACACATACACAAACTGTCACAACTAATAAATAATTTCATCAAAATCTCAGGATAGAAAATAAATCCATAAAAATCAGTTGCATTTCCATACACAAACAGTAATCAATTGAAAAAGGAAATTAGGAAAACAATTTTATTTATTATAGCATCAAGAATACAAATCTTAGGAATAAATTTGACCTGAGAAGTGAAAAACTTGTACACTGAACATCACAAAACATTGCTAAAAGAAATCAAAGAAGACAGAAGTAAATGGAAAGATATCCCATGCTCTCCAATTGGAAGACAGTACTTTTTAAATGTCCATACTACCTAAAATGATCTATAGATTCAATATATCCTCATCAAACCCAATGGCATTTTTGCAAAAATAGAAAAAAAATCTAAAATTCATACAAATTTTGATAGGATCTCAAATAGCCAAAACAACTAAGAAAGAAGAATGAAGTTGGAAGCTTCACACTTTTTTATTTCAAAACACACTGCAAGCAACAGCAATCAAAACAGTAGGTACTGACATAGATATATATAATAATGGAACAGAATAGGGAGCCCAGAAATAAACTCTTGCGTAGACGGCCAAATGATTTTCAACAAGGACGCCAAAGCTGCACAAAGGGGAAACACCACTCTCTTCAAAATGTTGTGAGAGGTGTTGGGAAAACCAGATATCCACAAGCAAAAGAATAAAGCTGGACCTCTACCTTATACCATATACAAAAATTAACTCAAAATGGATTAAAGACCTGAAGGTAAGACCAAAAACTATAAAACTCCTAGAAGAAAACCTAGGGGGAAAGAATCAGGACATTTGAATTTGGCAATAATTTCTTGAATATGACACCCAAAGTACATGCAACAAAAGAAAAAACAGAAAAACAGGACTACATCAAACAGAAAAACTTCCATGCATCAAAAAAAAACAGTCAACAGAGTGAAAAGGCAACCTACAGAAGGGGAGAAAATACTTGCAAATTGTTTATCTAATAAGCGGTTAATATACATATAAAAATTGTTACAAGTCAACATTTATAGAATATATAGTGAACTTTTTCAAAGCAACAAGAAGAAAAACAAACAATTTTTAAATGTACAAAGGACTTGAATAGACAATTCTTCAAACGAGATATACAAATGGCCAAGAAACATATGAAAATGCGTTTGACATCACTACTAATAGAAGAAATACAAATCAAAACCGCAATGAGATATAGCCTCACAGTCATTAGGCTGGACACTGTTGAACACAAAATAACAAGTGTTGGCAAGAAAGTGGAGATATTGGGAGCCTTATGCTCTGTTGCTGAGATTGTAAAATGATATAGCCATTGTGGAAAACAGTGTGAGGGTTCCTCGAAAGAATTAAAAATAGAATTACCATGTAATCCAGCAATCTCACTTCTGTACGTACATTTAAAAGTATTCAGAGAAGGACCTGGAAGAGATATTTGCACATCCATGTTCATCACAGAATTATTCATAATAAACACAAGGTGGAAACAACTGAAATGTCCACGGACAGATGAACGAATATAGAAAAAGTGGTATATATACACAATGAAATATGCAGCCTTAAAAAAGGAAATTCTGTTACATACTACAACATGGAAGAACCTCGAGGTCATTACACTAAGCAAAATAAGCCAGTCACAAAATGACAAATTCTGTATAATTCCACACATATGAAATACCTTAATTAGTCAAAATCATAGAAACAGAAAATAGAAAGTTGGTTGCTAAGGACTGGGGGAGGTAGGAGGGGACCTGCAGTTTAGTGGATAAAGAGTTTCAGTGTTACAGGATGAAAAGGTTATAGAGCTCAATTGCACAACACTGTGAATATACTTAAGAGTTCTGACTTGTACACTTGGCTGGGTGTGGTGGCTCACACCTGTAATCCCAGCACTTTGGGAGGCTGAGGTGGGTGGACCACCTGAGTTGGGAGTTCGAGACCAGGCTGACCAACATGGAGAAACCCCATCTCTACTAAAAAGACAAAATTAGCTGAGCATGGTGGTGGGCACCTGTAATCCCACCTTCTCAGGAGGCTGAGGCAGGAGAATCACTTGAACCCAGGAGGCAGAGGTTGCGGTTAGATGAGATCATGCCATTGCACTCCAGTCTGGGCAACAAGAGCGAAACTCTGTCTCAAAAAGAAAAAAAAGGAGTTCTCACTTGTACACTTAAAAATGGTTAACAGGGTAAATTTTATTTTACATGTTTGTTTACCACAATAAAAAAAAATATTCCCAAGTATCCTCTTATGGTTTTCAGGTATTCAAGGTAACTATGTAATTAGTAGGTTATAATGGTGATTTCATATCCATCCTCTTTGAAGTAATTTTGAAAAAACTATTAATGTTCAAATCATCATACCAAGAATATTGAGAAATAGAACATAAATAAAAATCAGCCAATGTCATACTTTCAATGAATTTAAAACCCCTAATAGAGGAAAGATCTGCAGGACAGTTCTCCAGGTGGTCTTGTACCAACCTAGATCTCCCCCTTTCTTGCTCATAGTTCTCAAGAATAACCATAGAATGTGCTGGGAATATTATATCCTGAAATCGGGAAGGAACTGCCTCAAACAGCCTGGACATTGTTCCTGTCCCTCCCAGAGAAGGTAACATCTTGAGTTAGGGAGTAAGTGCCAGGGACAGCTCAGACTTTGCTCCTCTCTCATCTGCAACAGGATGTCCTTCAAAGCTTTGCCCACTGTGTCATGTGGCCTCTGAGGTATATAACCAAGGCAGGATGGCTTTCAGGATGCCTCAGCTGTGGTGCAAAGTCCAGCATATGCAGTCGAGATGCCATCCACCATGGCAGCTTTCTTGAGTCTTGGGAGACTGGCTCACAATGGATCTGAGGTGGTTTTTTTTTTTTTTTGTCTCTTGCTGCTGACCTATAAGTAATTAACTTGCTTTACATAATCTGTGTGTGAGTATCTTCTGTCTCACTGGACTTAGACAAACTGGTAATCAGTGACTGGTGGACTTAAACAGTAGCCCAGGATGCAGTGGGCATAAGTACATGGATACGCCTTTCTGGCGGTAGACTTAATAATAACCTTTGCTATTAGCAAATCTGCTTGGCACTAATAGCACAGAGCAGAGGAGGCATAAGGGAAGGACAAATTAATTCCTTTTGGCAAGTGGGAAAGCAGGAGTAGATCAGGAAAAATGCTTTAAGGAAGTTGCCCTTTGAGTCAGATTTGGAAAGATAAGAGTTTATACAGAAAGGAGGGAAAGGGCACTCCAGGTTGAAGGAATAGTATGAAGAATGGCAGAAAAGCAGGAAGATACAGAACATACAAGGTAAATGTAATTTCTTTGATTTGGTAGAAAATGAAAATGTGGAAGAAAAAGAGAAAATAAAATTTTATTTTCCTTTCCTTTGCATAAATATCCAGGAGTAGGGTTGCTGGCTTGTATGGCAGTCCCATTTTTAGTTTTTTGAGAAACCTCCATACTGTTTAGTTCCTTTTCTCTGTATCCTGGCCAACATTTGTTATTTTTTGGTTTTTTGATAATACTCGTTGTAACTGAGGTGAGATGATATCTCATTGTGGCTTTGATTTGCATTTCACTGATGATTAGTAATAGCGAGCATATTTTTTCACATAACTCTTGGTCATTTGTATGTATTCTTTTAAAAGAAAATTATTCATATCCTTTGTCGACTTTTTTTTATGTAACTTTTATTTTAAATTGAGGAGTACATGTGCATTGCCGAATTTTGCTGTGGAGTTGAGTTCCTTATGTCAGTGACTTGTCAGATGGATAATTTGTAAATATTTTCTGTCATTTTACAGATTGTGTCTTCAGTCTGTTGCTTATTTCCTTTGCTGTGTAGAAGCTTTTTAGCTTAATATAGTCCCATTAGGATATTTTTGTCTTTTCTGACTATATTTGTGAAGCCTTAGACATAAAATCTTTGCCTAGATGACCTGGGAGCATTTCCTCTAATGTTTCTGTCTATAATTTTATGTTTTGGGTCTTGTGTGTAAGTTTCTAATCCACTTTGATTTGATTTTTATATGGTAATACATAGGGGTCTAGTTTCATTCTTCTGCATATAGATACCCAGTTTCTCTAGCACCATTTAGTGAAAAGACTGCCTTTTCCCCAATGTATATTCTTGGCACCTTGTCAAAAATTGGTTGGCGGCAAATATGTGAATTTATTTCTGGGTTTTCTATCCTGTTCTACTGGTCTATATGTATCTGTTTTCATACCAATATCATGCCTTTAGGATTACTATAACTTTGCAGCATATCTTGAAGTCAGGTAGTGTGGTAACTTCAGCTTTGGGTTTTTTGTTGTTGTTGTTGTTGTTTTTTATTTTGTTTTGGCTCAGGGTTGTTTGGCTATTTGGGTATTTCGTGGTTCCATACAAAATTTAAGATTGTTCTTTCTACTTCTGTGAAAAATATCATTGGTATTTTGATGGGTACTGCATTGAATCTGTAGATTGCTCTGGGTAGTATTGTCATTTTAACAATATTAATTATTCTAATCCATAAGCATGGGATTTCTTTCCATTTGTTTGGGTCCTCTTTAATTTCTTCCATTATTGTTTTGCAGTTTACATTATAGAAGTGTTTCACCTCCTTGGTTAAATTTATTCCAAGGTCTTTTATTATTTTTTGTAGCTATTGCAAAAGATGTTGTTTTCTTGATTTCTTTTTCTGCTAGTTTGTTATTGGTGTGTTAAATGCTACTAATTTTTGTTTGCTGATTGTATCCCACAACTTTGCTGAATTTACCAGTTCAAAGAGTTTTTTTGGTAGAGGCTTTAAGCTTTTCTAAATATAATATCACATCATCTACAAAGACAATTTGACTTCCTCTTTCTGATTTGTATGCCTTTTATTTCTAGCTTTTGCCTGATTGCTCTAACTAGCACTTCCAATAGTATGTTGAATAAGAGTGGTAAAAGTGGGCATCTTTGTCTTATCCTAATTCATAAAAGAAAAGTTTTTAGCTTTTCTCCATTCAGCATGATGTTAGCCGTGGATTTGTTTTACATCAACCTTATTATGTTGTGGTATATTCCTTTAATTCCTACATTATTGAGAGTTTTTATCATGAAGAGATGTTAAATTTTGTCAACTCCTTTTTCTGTATCTATTGATACGATCATATGTATTTCATCCTTTGTTCTGTTGATGTGATGTATCATGTGTATTAATTTGCATCTGTTGTACCATCCTTGCATTCCTGGGATAAATCTCACTTGATCGCAGTGTATTATCTTTCTGATGTGTTGTTGCATTTGGTTTGCATTTGTTGAGATTTTTGCTTCTATGTTCATCAGAGATACTGGCCTATAGTTTTATTTTTATGTACAGCATTGTCTGCTTTTGCTACCAGTGTTAATGCTGGCCTCCTAGTATGCTTAGAAAGATTCTCTCCTCTTCAATTTTTTGGCAGTATGGCAGGCATGCTGATCTTTGGGCCTCCAGGTGCCAAATAGGGATGCCAATAGTGGTAGATCTGAGCATGCTGGTCCTTGTGCCTCCAGACAGCTTATTTGGGTGCCAGTAATGGCATTGGTAGGCCAGGCCAATGGGTCCTTGGGTCCCTGCTCAGCATGTGTGGAATCACCAATGGCAGTAGTGGCAACAGGACAACCCTCAGGCCCCAAGCCTCATGCTAAGGCTGACAGCAGAGGCAGCAGTTGGCCAGGCAGGCTAGTCCCCAGTCAAGCTGGTGAACACAAGTGGGTATCAGTGGTGGCAGCAGCGGAAGGCTGGGCAAACCAGTCCCTGGTTCCCTTGGAGATGCATGCAGGTATCAGTGGCAGGTTGGGTGGGCCTGTCTTCAGGCCGCCAAAAAACATATTTGGGCACTAGCAGTGGCAGTCCGTATGGGCCTGTCCTCAGGCCCCAAGACTGTTCTAGTTCCCAGACCACTTAAAGGTGTGTGCAGATGCACAGTGGTCCTGCTGCCAAATGGGGTGGGGTTTCTGTCAGCGGCAGCGGCTCCAGGCAGGCAGCTCTCTGGCTCCGAGCAGCACACCCTCTCTTTGTCCCAGATGCAGCCTCCCTGGTACACTGCACTGCTTATTCCCTGAACTGTAGAACACTGAGTGGGCTAGAATGCTGGGGCCCTCTTCCCACTGCCGGGTCCAGCTGGTGTCACAATATTGCAGCCTTCTGGGTTGATGTCAGGGATATCAACAAGGCTTCAGAAATGTGGATGTATAGGTACTATCTCATCATTTTGAGAGCCCAGTCCCACCAGAGTAGTACAAAATTATACTGTGCTGCAGCTGCTTGAGTCTCGGGGGATGTATGGGACCCAGTACACACTTCCTCTCTGGATCAGTGCTGTCATCTGGACACCAGGCAGCTCCCTGTACTAACTCAGGGCCCAAAAGAGCTAAGGGGCTTATCAAGTGGCTAGAATTGCAGGAGTGCATGATGGGAATGTAGACCACTGAGAATCTCTCACTTACATTTTCCTCATAATGGAGAATTTCTCCTGGCTCCAAGTCAATCCTGGCCAGTATGGCTGCCTTGCTTTCCTCTCCTTCTGTACCTCAGGGGTTCCCTGTCACTTTCTTGCTGTATGCTAGTGTTCTCTCTTAGAAGCTCTGTTCAACATGTGGTTATCTATTTGCTGTTTTGGTCCTTGTTTGTGAAGCAGGTGAGTGCCCAGTGCCAAGTGCCTCTAGTCAGCCGTCTTGCAGCCCCCTGACCACCTGTATTCTAAGTTCATTCTTCCAGCACCATTGTTCACAATGTGTCATAAAAGATAAATAAAATATTTCTTTTCTGTGCATCTGGAATGAAGAAAGTACAACTAGAACAAGTGGAAGAGAGGAAAGAAAATCAATGATGAAAACCATGTCAAAAGCTGTTACTAATAAATGTCAAATTTCATATATCATGATATCATAGCTCATGTTTTCAAACAGAAGATAATTACCTTCCACAAAGCTATCTGAAAAAAATGTAAACTGAATCATAAAACTTCACAAATTCAGACTAATTGTGCAAGCCAGCTAAAAATCAGAAGAATAAATTTACATTGCATTCAAATTTGAAAGAAATTCAAAACATAAAATGCTATTTTCTTGAACTTGTCAGATTATAAATTAAGTTCATTTCCAACAAAGCTCAACTGGGAAATAAATCCCCAACAAAAGAAATGATATGGTGGAAAGAGTGCTTAAAAGAAGTTTAGAACCAACTTAGACTGCTAGATGATCACCTTTTTTTCCAATTATTTTATTGTGGCAAAATACATGTAAATAAAATTTACCTTATCCATTTTAAGTATAAAGTGCAGTGGTATTACATTTATATTATTGTATAACCATCACCATGGTCTATCTCTAGAACTCTTCATCTTGCAAAATGGAAACTATATAGCCATAAAACAATATCTTCTCTTTACCTTACCCTCTCCCCACTGTCCAGCAACCACCATTCACCTTTCTGTTTCTAGGATTTCTGACTCTATGATTTACACCCCAGTCTTTTTGTGACTGGCTTATTTCACTTAGCATAATGTTCTCAAGGTCCATCCATGTTATAGCACATGACAGAATGTCCTTCCTTTTTAAGGTTTAAACAATATTGCATTGTATATGTATACATTTTGCTTATCCATTCATTTCTTGATGAAAGTAACACTTTTGGGTTGCTTTCATAATTTAGCTATTATGAATAATGCTGCTATTAACATGGGTGTACAAATATCTCTTTGAGACCCTATTTCAATAATTTGGGGTATACTCTTAGAAGTAGAATTGCTGGATTATATAGTAAATCTATTTTTAGTTTTTTTATTTAAAAATGACATACTATTTTCTACAGTGGCTGTAACATTGTAACATTTTATATGCCAATTAACAGTGACCAAGGGTTCCAATTCTCCATATCCTCACTAATAATTATTTTCTTGGTTTTTGTTTGTTTGTTTTACTAATTGATGTGAGATGGTGAGGTGAAATCTTGTTTTTTAGGTTTGTTTTTTTTTTTTTTCAGACAGAGTTTTACTCTGTCACTCAGGCTGGAGTAAAGTGGTGTGATCATAGCTCACTATCATCTCCAACTCTTGGACTCAAGTGATCCTCCCATCTCAGCTTTCCAAGTAGCTAGGACTAGCAGGCATGTACCATCATGCCTGGCTGGCTAATTTTTTAGGGTTTTTTTTGGTAGAGACAAAGTCTCACTATGCTACCCATGCTGGTCTAAAATTCCTGTCTCCAAGCAATCCTCCCACCTTGACCTCCCAAAGCGCTGGGATTATAGGCATGAGCCACCATGCCTGGCCATCTTTTAATAGGCTTATTGGCCATTCATATATCTTCTTTGGAGAAAAGTCTATGCGAGTGTTTAATTCTTTTAAATCATGTTGTCATTATCATTGAAATATCCCTTAACATAATTTTTGCATTATTAAAATATACAAATGTATAACCTGACTTTGAAGTCAATGTGAAAATATCACTGAGGGCATTGGCCATTAAATTACTTAATATCAACTGAGTTTTTCATTCATTTGTTTGTTGTTTTTTCATTCTTAGTATTCCAAAGTATTGCCCCATTTATTGCACACAGAAGACACTTAATAAATGCTTGCAGTTAATAAAGACAATATGCAGTTATACTTGTTAATTGTATGCTCATTTACAGAAAATATATATGCTCTGAAATATTTGAAAAGAAATATTCTCCGATGTAAAATAAGTACACATGTTGAAATATTATTAATGGCTCTAATTTACTTAGGTGAGTGTAATACAAAGTTAAATGAAAACTCCAGATAGATTTTTAAAATTCCGAAATTTGTATGTTTTGTTCACATTGTATTGCACATGCACCAAGAAATTAATGGGCAGTTTCTTTTTTTGAAATATCAAATCTATAAATTAAAACAGGAACAGATAAATTATTTTCATGATTAGTTGATGCTATTGTCTGAATGTCCCTTCCAAAACTCATGTTGAAATGTAATTGCCATTGTAACAGTGTTATGTGGTGAACCTTTAAGAGGTGCTTAGGTCATAAGGGATCTGCCCTTATGAGTGGATTAATCCCATTATCCTGAGAGTGAGTTAGTTACCATAGTAGTGGGCTCTGATGAAAGGATAATTTTGGATCCCATTTTGTCTTTCCCTGTCTTGTGTGCTCACCTGAACTTCCACTATGTTAGGATGCAACACAAAGCCTCTTGCCAGATCCCGGCACCATGCTCTTGGTCTTCCCAGCCACTAAAACTATGGGCCACTTAAATTTTTCTTTACCCAACCTGAGGTTCCCTGTTATTCGGCAGCAGAAAATGAAGTAAGATTGCTGGTAAAAAATATAAATTAACCTACATATAAACAAAGAAAAACAGAATAAAACTATTGAAAACGATAAAACTGTAAGTGATTATTGGACAACACATAAAAGTTTTACATAATTCTAATCTAAAATGTACATTTTTACCTGTTAAATATATATCATACTTCAAAATAAGGAATGGTTCTGAATAATATCCACTAATGGCTTTTGGAGCATCCAATTAAGATTATTTCTGCATTTCCCACCTGTAGTTCTCATGGAAGAGTTGACTGTAAAATATTCACCTTCACACTGGAACCAGATGTTTAAAAAGACAGCTCCCGACCCCAGGCAGTGATCCCCTTAAGCAGGAAGTTAACACTAATAATTACTGAAATCAGAAATTTTCTGCATCTCTTAACAGATAAGTATTAACATAGCTGATATAAACTAACATTGACTAACCACTCATTGAGTACCAAGGTATATGTCAAGTGTTTTGTGTGCATAATCTCACTGAATTCTCCAAACAGTCTTATGAGGTTAGTTCTATTATTTTACTTCTACATTGAAACTGGCCTAGGGTCACGGAACTAGCAATTAGCTAAAGAATATCCAACACGGAATTTTTGGCTTAGTGCTATACTGCATCAGCATTATCAAAAATTATTTCCCCAGCTTTTCAAAGAAACACTGCAAAAACAGAATAGCTAAAAATGTTTAAAGTTTGACTAAAAATGTCTAAATAACAGCTAAATAAAAACTGATTAAAATATAGCATTCCATCTTGAAGGTTTGACTATATTTTAAGATTTAAATTAAAAAGAATTTGGATGAAATAGAAAATATGAACTATGGGAAGGTGATTTTTTTAAAGACTTAATTTTTAAAAATTCAGTCTTCACAGTTCATTCTTGTGACAACTCTTGTTGCCTGGTTACCGCCAGGCAGAGAAAACCAACTGCACAAGAATCATCACAACTATGCCAAAAATAACGAACACTTCTTATTTCCCTGTTCTACTCTAAAATAATTATTTATAAAATAGAGCAAAAAAATATATAAGCCTAGGTGGTTAGGGTGGCTCATGCCTGTAATCCCAACATTTTGGGAGGCCAAGGCAGAAAGATGGCTTGAGGCCAAGAGTTCAAAACCAGCCTGGACAATATAGCAAGACCTGTCTCTACAAAAAAATTAAAATAAAAAAAATTAGCCAGGTATGGTGGTGTGGCTGGTAGTACTAGCTACTTGGAAGGCTGAGGCAGGAGGATCATTTGAACCCAGGAGTTCTCGATTGCAGTGAGGTAGAATCATGCCACTGCATTCCAGCCTGGGTGACAGAGTGAGACCCTGTCTCTAAAAAAAGAAATATAGGCCTAATAATAACTGCTTAATATACAAATGAATATTTTCTTCATTCTTTATTAGGTCTTCAAAACATCTACAGACATAACTGATTAATGTATTTTTAGCTTTAGCAAAAATAAAAATAAAAAAATACCTTACAGCATCTGACCAGTGAGTCACTCAAAGTGTTCTGTTGTTCAAAGCAAGAACCTGTTTTTGATGAGCCCTCTGAAAATAGGGAATGAATAATATGAATTCCAGATAAGGAATGTATAAATCCAACATCTATTGGTTTTGCTGTCTTAAGCTTCTCACACCCTTTTCTTAACAAACTTCCTCTTACCTGGGTTAATTAAATTCTTGTAGTACAAGTGAAATTGAACTTCTTGCATCTCAGACCATAGAGATAGGCACAAGACCCCTAAATGAATAAAGTTCTTCATCTCCTTGGGCACATTATCCAAGACAGACAATCATAATTTTCAGTGAAATTTACTATATAAACAGTAAAGAATTTGGGGGTTTCTTTTTTGGATTGTAATCTATAAGTACACAAGTTTGCGGCTACAAGGAGCTGTATTTCCCACCATTTGGGGAAATCCTGTTTGTGAATAAAGTCAAACAGGGCTGAGTAATTGAATAGCATCATTCAGAAAAAGTTCCTTGCTTGTCATTCACAGATACATAGCCAACATACTTCCTTTTTTGCCTAATGTAATTTGATTTGCATTTCCATTGCAAGCAAACAGTCTGACAAATATAATTCACTCAACCATGGAGTTACTTGATTCCCTCTTGAATACATTTATATTTAGGAACTTGGGATTTTGAGATGAGTTCTTTAAGATAACTACCAGCTGATAAAGTCATATTTCCTTTTTATTTTTCTTTAAAGTATCTCAAGTGTCAAGCAAACAGTGGTAGGAAACTGAAATTCTGTGACTGAACACCCTCAATCTATACATTATAGTCACCAATATTTGGGGAGAATAATTACAAAAAAAAAATCTTCCAAAAAATACCTCACTTCAATATCATGAGAACTTAAATTCTATCATCAGAAGTTTAGTTCCTAATGTTAAGCCCTGTCATTTCCCTTCAGTCCTCTTTTGAGAAATAAATAAAATGAGGCACTTATATCTTAGTGTGAATTTCTCAGACAATTTTCTTCTATAATAAGAGAAATAACAGAAGAAGAGTGGGTGCCAAAAAGTTTCAGAGACAGGGTAAAATGTGAAAGGATCAAGAGAATGAGAAAACAAGACACAGACTGGGAGGACATATTTGCAAAAGACATACCTGATAAAGGACTGTTATTCAAAATATATATAGAACTCTTAAAACTTAAGAAGAAGAAAACAAACAACCTGATTTAAATATGGGCAAATATATAGACACCTCACCAAACAAAATATACAAATGTCAAGTAATCATAGAGAAAGATTCCCAATATGATATGACATTAGGGAATTGCAAATTAAAATGAGATACTATTACATGTCTATTAGGATGGCTAAAATCCAAAACACTGACAACACTAAATGCTGGAAACAGGAGCAAAAGGAGCTCTTATTCATTGCTGGTGGGAATGCAAAATGGTACAGCCACTTTGGAAGAGAGTTTGGCAGATTCTTACAAAACTAAACATACTCCTACCATATGATCCAGCAATCACACTCCTTGGTATTTACCCACATTAGTTGAAAACTTATGTCCACATGAAAACCTACGCACAAATGTTTATAGCAGTTTTATTCATAACTGCCAAAGCTTGGAAGCAACTAAGATGGCCTTCAGAAGGTGAATGGGTAAATAAACTGCAGTACATTCAGACAATGGAATATTATTCAGCACTGAAAATAAAGGAGCTATCAAGCCACACTCAAAAAATGGAAGAACTTTAAATGCATATTGCTAAGTGAAAGGGGCCAGTCTGAAAAGGCTAAACCCTGTATGATTCCAATGATGTGACATTCTGGAAAAGGCAAAAGCGTGGAAACAGAAGAAAGATCAGTGGTTGACAAGGGTTTGGGGGAGGGAGGGATAAATAGATAGAGCAAAGGGGCTATTTAAGGCAGTGAAACTATTCTGTATAATACCATAATGGTGGCTACATGTTATTATACATCTGTTAAAACCTACAGAATATGCAACACAGAGTGAACCCTAATGTAAAATATGAATTTGGGTAGATAGTGATGTGTCAGTGTTGGTTCATCGATTCTAACAAATACCACTCTGGTGCGCTGCTGAGAGATGTTGATGATGGGGAGGCTGTATGTATGTGGGAGGGGTTACGTGGGAACTCTGTATTTTCTGCTTAATTTATTTTTAACTTAAAACTTCTCTAAAATATAAAGTTTTTAAAAATAAAACCAATGAAACAGATGATGACCATAAGTCAACAAATCGTATGCATCACAATTCCTCCATCCCTATCACTCTTCAGTGGGAAGAACACTAGATTTAGAATGTTCTATTCACATAACAAATATTTATCAAAAAGGTATTGTGTACCTTTGCTAGGTGTCTAAATAAATACAAATAATCATTGCTTGCATGCGGCTTGTAGTCTAATAGAGAAATACAATAAACAAATAAATATGTAATTACAGATGATGATAAGTGCTATAAAGAAAATAGATAGGGACCCAAAGTAGCATGATAGTGGGGACAATTTTTTCAAGAAAGGGGAGAAGAAAGGTAGACCAGCAGATATAGAGAGAAGTGGGGTCAAGGAAGCCTGTTTTTAACATGGCAGTACTAGATAATATTTGAGTATTGGAAAGAATGGTCCAGTAGAGAAAGAGAAGTCATAAACACAGGAGAGAAAGATAGGTGGTAAATTATGAAGCAAGGACCTGAAAATGAGGGTTGGAATCCAGAATGCACATGAAGGGCCTACTCTTTGATGGGAGGAATTCCTACATTACAGCAGAAGGAGAAATGTAGAAAAAGAAGAATATTTTCAACAACCCTAATAAGAAGGCAAAGCCCTTTCCACCAGGTGAACAAAAATCTCCTTTTGGGGTTGTGCCATAGATGACAGAGGCAGAAAGCACTGAAATAATTTTTTATGAAATCTAATAGACATTGGCACCCACCTTTCTTGGCTGGCAAAAAAAAAAAAAAAAAAGGTTTTTTTTCAATTACTGTGGAGAGTTTCTTTTTTGCCAGTGGCAAGATTAAAGCTATGCTGATGGGAGGAAGATCCCTCCTTGTATGAACTAGACTGCATGTTCTCTGGGCTGTTTAAAAGCTTGTGTTGGTAACATATACTTGTTTCTTAACAATGAGAAAATCAGCCACTGTGGCTAGTGGGAAGACTAACCTGGAACTTGAGTAGCCACACGGGTCTGCACTCACAGGACATCCTCCATGGCCCGAGTCAGCAACAACTATGCAAACTAGGAAGTTCATTAGCAACTGGCCATGGCCTGAAACATTCTAGTGTATAAGACAAGAGGGAAGAAAGAGCGGGGTGGCTCTTGCGATGACAAGTGGAATTTTCTGGGGCAGAGTATGTAGACCTGAGTAGGATTTAAAAGAAAGAGCTCCAAAACTGAGAGAAATGGGGAGTGATGGAAGCTGGAGAGAGAAAGAGAGAGACCTGAGAGAGAGAATATCCACTTGAGACCCCTTCTTTTAGAAGGTCTGAGGGTCCCCGGCCCTTCCTTTGGTGACTCAAAAACATGACTAAGTCATATAAAATGATTTCTGTCCTCCAGCATAATATGGCCTTTCTGAGACCCTTTCAGTGCATATTTGACCTGAGGAACACGGGAGACGGAGGAAACTTAGGGGAATGACTAGAACTGGCTCACCTCAGTCCGTGGTTTTAGGTCAGATGACAGTGGTTACCGGGACAGCAGGAAGACAGCCACAGGCACTGGGGTAAAAACAGGATGACCGAGAGAGGCTTTGTCACAACTGGGTCACAGATTTATGAGACAAGATTTTCAACGAGAGTTTTATAGAGAAAAGATATAAAATAGTATTCATGACAAGTGGAAGAGTGATACTCTCAAACAACATCAATTCCTGGGAAGAATTAAGGGCCCATTTAAGACAGGTATTATGTTTAAGCCTTGCCTCTGCCGTTTATCAGCTATATGATTCTTTTACAATACACTTATCCTCTTTGAATCTGAGTTCCCTTGGTGGTAAATTGGGGATAGTAACACCTCTGATACAAGCCTGTAGAAAGAATTAAGATTATGTATATAAATTCTTTATGCATAGTAAATTCTCAAAAAATACTAGTTTCTTTTCCGCTTTCATGATATATAAGCCTTGCAAAGTGGTAGGGTCTTTTATTTTTGGTCGATATTCATCTGAGAGTGTTTTCCTAAGTAAGGTGTTAGCATTAGGAATATCACTTCCTAAATCATTTCAGGCATTTTGAACATGGAAAATTGTTCAGGGTATATATAATTCCTGAATCAGTGGGCTAACCACTGTATCCAGATGTTTTCATTCAAGTCAGTCTTAGGCCCTAAAGTATCAAACCAATCTCATTCAGATTTATTTCTACCTAGAAGACAATCTTTCCAGAATGAAAATAAAACCCTTTTAAATATTCTTATCAACAAGTTACCTTTATGTTTTTACTATGTTATTGGTAAACTGATAATGAGAAAGCAATTTGATACGACTGCTTTTATTTGAGGAAAATAGGTTTTGGATTTCCAATGGGATTTTATTATTTCCTTGTTTTCTGGGTGATCTGAAATTAGACAATGTTGCACCAGGTTCTCATACTTTAATGTTCATCAGAATCACCTCAAAGCCATGTCAATAATTCAAGTTTGGACACCTTCACCCTGGAGCATGTGATTCTTTAGGTCTGAGGTGGAACCAAGGAATATGCATTTTTGCCAGCATTCCAGGTAACATTAACACAGGTGATCCTTAAACTTCATTTTGAGAAACACTTGCAGACTGATAAGATGTC
The DNA here is from genome assembly GCF_000001405.40 of Homo sapiens. NCBI lineage: Eukaryota > Metazoa > Chordata > Mammalia > Primates > Hominidae > Homo > Homo sapiens. The sequence goes on along the minus strand of NC_000002.12, from coordinate 153,023,476 downwards.
TATTCCCTTTGGGAAAATTATTTGTTTTTATCATGTGGAGAATCTAAAGAAACTCATTTTCTATTTTTGTATACAGACCATACTTGATTTTTCTTCCTTACATTGAATTTCTGTTCACTTTGAGTGTTGCATTTTATGGATACATATATTTTACAGAGTTTAAAATGTTAACTTTATAATTTTTTTTTTTTTGAGACGGAGTCTCACTCTGCTGCCCAGGCTGGAGTGCAGTGGCGTGATTTTGGCTCACTGCAAGCTCTGCCTCCCAGGTATAATATTTTTATAATGAAAGCCTATATGATTTGTATCTTTTTTATTAGAGGCTTTGACAGCTGTTTAACTTATCACTTGATAGTACAATAGCAAATACTTTTGCATTTTTCTTTATCTATGAAATCTATCTGTCTTCATTTACTTTGAAGCCCCAAGGATTATCTAAATTTTCCAGTTTAAATTCCTACCTTTAGGAATTTTATGTGAAAGAGAAGAGATGTCCTGAAATTCCCTTGGGAATTTTCTCCTAAGGATATTTACTAACTATATCTTGTCTATCCTTTCTTTTGTTCCAATAACAAGTCATATTTCTTTACACATAGAAACTGATAACATTACAAACACAAACTTGCAAGCTTACGTAGAATTGAAGCCAGGAAAAAACCTGGAGGACAGCTATATGTCTTTTAGAGAATTGCTTTTCAGTAGCATTCAAAATACATAGTTCACATACCAAATAACAAGTAAATGTAATGCTTTCCAAGATGGAACATGAGGTCTCAGTCTATTTTAAGAGGAAGAAAAGATTGGAAAATATCCCAGAAATGTCATTGTGTGAGCAGGTTGAACAATCCACTAGCATAAAAGAATTTTTTTAAAAGAAGTCACATACACATTTATGACATTTAGGGAAGATGGTAGAATAAAAATTGTCAGATTTCCTTAGGGAAAACATTCAAATGAAACTCCTAAACTATAACTGAATATCACAGTTTCATCCATTCTGTTTGGAATCATGGGACCAGAAGGAATGACAGGCACTCATCTGGCCATCTTCCTACCTTTAGTCAATTCCCATTACTAAAGTTGCCTAAGATTAGTAAATAATCAATCCCAGTTTAAATGCCTGCAGAGGAACAAACTCTAAAAATTCTTTATTTACCAGTTCAACAACCAATGTGCAAGTTGAATCCATTTATTCCTTCTTTTATTCAATCCAAAAATATTAAGATACTACTATGTACAAGGTACATCATTACCAAAACCTCCAGACAAAAACTCCATAAAATTTAGTCAATTATTGAAGCATCTTTAATACATAAAATCAAACATTAGATGTGTTCCAGTGAGGCAGACATTATGCAAAATTGTGAATTTTAACTTTTTCTGCCCTGTTCCTTTTCAGTTCATTACCCACTCACATCTCTATCCCCAAATCACAGTGTAGAGAAGATTTAAGGAAATTTAAACTGTTCAGCTCAGGAATTCTTGAATACTTGCTTCATTTACAGGCATATGAATGTTTAATGTTGATATTTGATAAGCTAATGATATGCACAAATGATATGCCAAATGTTGATATCTGATAAGCTAATGATATGCACAAATGTTTAGGGTTGATATTTGATAAGCTAATGATATGCACAAATTTGTAATCTGTAGAAGCTATTGGCATGTATTTGTATTCAATCAGAAATGGCATACCTATTGTTACAGGACAGGAAAGAATTCAAACTACAGATGCTCCTCGACTTACAATGGAGTTATATAACCATGGTAAGCTGAAAATATCATTAGTCGAAAATGCATTTAATACACCCAGCCTACCAAACAACGTAGCTTAGACTACCCTGCCTTAAACGTGCCCAAAACAGTTATATTAGCTTACAGCTAGACAAAAATCATCTAACACAAAGACTATTTTATAATAAGGTTTTGAGTACTATACGCAGATGGGTGTTTTGTAGACATGATGTGATGAGATAACACAAAACACAATATTCCAAAACCACTGGTAACAGTACTCTACAGAGTATTAGTTGTCTACCCTTGTTGTCACATAGCTGACTAGGAGCTGCAACTCACTGCTACTGCCTGGTATCTTAAGAGAGTTTCCTACCACATATCGCTAGCATGGGAAAATACCAAAATTCAAAATTCGAAGTATGATTTCTACTAAATGCATATTGCTTTCACACCATTGTAAAGTTGAAATATTCTTAAGTCAACCCATTGTAAGTTGAGGACCATTTGTACTTGGAGCTCCCCCCAACCCCTTATCTAGGTGGGAGAAAATAACAGGCAAGGGATGGGTTATAAAATGAATGCTCTATACTTACTAGAAGATGTAAATTTTTGGAAAGATAAGACTTTGATGGAAAGAAATGAGGAAGTGTTAGCCACTCTAGCTGTTGTTGGGCTAAACTCTTGGAGGTGGAATATTTTTCCCCTATATACCTATGTACTCCAATATAACAAGTCTGCGTATGATTGATGGGCATTTGGAGCTCCTCCCTTGCTTACCCACAGGATGCAGACCCCTATACTTATCTCCAACTCTGCCTTCTCTAATGTTTCTAGAATAGAAATGTCTAGAATAGATGACGTTCTCCAAACACATAATATGTGTACCTGACCTGTGCCTTCAGTCTATCACAATAATTTGTCTTTGTCATGTTTCCCAGTGCCAAAATGTTCCACCCTGTATATTCTTCATTCAGAATCTTACCTGAAGTGTCCAAGGTAAAAATCATGGACATATCATGATATAATAATAAGAAAATTAACTAAACTGCACAAAACTCAGACTTTTTCATATCTGATACATTCTTACAAGTCTTCTTGGTTTCACCTGTCTCTCATTCTAGTCACCAGTGCAACAAATTCTTCATGAGCTCTTCCCAGCTTCACAGCGTCTTACCTCCATCCCACTCTACATGCCTCTTTTCTCCAGGCCTAAGTTTCTCTATGGAAATACAAGCACTCATACTTTACACAGACACAGCCTTGAATGTAATTCCTCATGACACAAAGTTGGCCAAAGGAGAACAGAATCCAACACATCAATGCCTCTCCCATTCTCCCCTCATCTCCTCACCCTTAGCATACAAGCATATGGTCTGGAATACATTTTGCATGGCTACTCAGCTGCACGTTCAGCCTCTCATTGCAGTAAGCAACTCATAGTCTTATATTGCTCTCTTTTCTATTCTGCTTCATTCCTCTATCCTTCACTCCTACTCCCTGGAATTATTATCCAATAAAATACTTATACATAGACTTTTGACTTAGGCTCTGCTCTCTGAAGGAACCCAGATAAGAACGGCAATGACTTCATTTTCATACTGGTTTCCTAGAAATATTCTTCCCAATCTGTATTTATTATAGGTCAGTTAGGAGAAGAGGATATTATCAATAGAAATATATTTTGGAGAGTTCTCCTCAACTAACATACCAGATATATATAGACTGCATATATTAGACTAGTTCTGGATACTATTCAATATGATTGCATTACTTCTTGGAGTCACATTTTGTTGTTGTAGAAATATATCTCTTTTAGAAGACAAATTTCTCAGAAAACAGTAACTTATGTCAAAATGTTTAAATAACTCACTTTTTCAAAAGCCTGTTTAATGTTTAAGTAATATGTGCTTTATAAAAAAAATTATCTGCACTGCTATGTCTGGGAACCCCTTTCAGACCTCCCTCACTCCCCCAATATGAGCTATAATATTCTACTTTTTAAAGAAATTTAAATATTTGATAAGCAATAGGAACTTGGTTATTTTTTCTTTTTGAAGTGCATTACTGATCAACAAAAAAGCCACCTGTAAGCCTACTTAACATTGCATAACAAAGTTGTGTTTTTTACATTTTAATATTCTAAATAGTTCAGTGGGAAAATAATACTCTACAAACAACCTAGAAGACTGATGTAAACCCCCATTTCACTATAAAAATATAATCAAGAAAGTATAACTCATTTTTCATATATAAAGATGAACAGAAAAGGATTTTTTAAAATTCTGGGTATAAGAAAACATGTTAGAAAACTCACAGTCATAGTGTTTCATATGGTTTGGCTCTGTGTCCCCACCCAAATCTCATCTGGTAGCTCCCATTATCCCCATGTGTTGTGGAAGGGACTCGATGGAAAATGATTGAATCATGGGGGTGGATCTTTCCCATGCTGTTCTCATGATAGTGAATGAATCTCACAAGATCTGATGGTTTTAAAAATGGGAGTCTCCCTGCACAAGCTCTCCCTCTTGTTTACTGTCATGTAACATGTGCCTTTCACCCTCCACTATAATTGTGAGGCTCCCCAGCCACATGGAACTGTGAGTTCAATAAACCTCTTTCTTTTGTAAAATGCCCAGTCTCAGGTATGTCTTTATCAGCAGTGTGAAAACAGACTAATACAGTAAATTTGTACCAGTAGAGTAGGGCATTGCTGAAAAAATACCCAAAACTGTGGAAGTGACTGTGGAACTAGGTAACAGGAAAAGGGTGGAACAGTTTGAAGGACTTAGAAAAAAACAGGAAAATGTGGGAAAGTTTGGAACTTCCTAGAGACTTGTTGAATGGCTTTGAAAAAATGCTGATAGTGATAAGAACAATAAGGTCCAGACTGAGATGGTCTCCGATGGAGATGAGAAACTTGTTGGGAACTGGAGCAAAGGTGACTCTTGTTACATTTTAGCAAAGACACTGGTGGCATTTTACCCCACCCTAGAGATTTGTGGAACTTTGAACTTGAGAGAGACGATTTAAGGTGTCTGGTGGGAGAAATTTATAAGAAGCAAAGCATTCAAGAGGTGACTTGGGTACTGTTATAGGCATTCAGTTTCAAAAGTGAAACAGAGAATAAAAGTTTGGAAAATCTGCAGCCTGATAATGCAATAGAAAAGAAAATCCCATTTTTTTGAGGAGAAATTCAAGCTGGCTGCAGAAATTTGCACAAGTAATAAGGAGCTGAATGTTAACCATCAAGACAATGGGGAAAAGGTCTCCAGGGCATATCAGAAACCTTTGCAGCAGCCCCTCCCATCACAGGACCAGAGGTCTAGGAGGAAAAAGTGGTTTTGTAGGCTGGGCCACGGGCCTTGTGCTATGTGCAGCCTAGGGACTTGGTGCCCTGCATCCCAGCCACTCCAGCTGTGGCTGAAAGGGACCAATGTAGAGCTCAGGCTACGGCATCAGAGGGTGCAAGCCTCAAGCTTTGGCAGTTTCCATGTGGTGCTGAGCCTGCGAGTGCACAGAAGTCAAGATTTGAGGTTTGGAACCTCTGCCTAGATTTCAGAAGGTGTATGGAAATGCCTGGATGTCCAGGCAGAAGTTTGCTGTAGAAGTGGGGTCCTCATGGAGAACCTCTGCTAGGGCAGTGCAGAAGGGAAATGTGGGGTGGGAGCTCCCACACGGAGTCCCTACTGGGGCACTGCCTAGTGGAGCCATAAGAAGAGGGCCACTATCCTCCAGACCCCAGAATGGTAGATCCAATGACAGCTTGCACCATGCACCTGGAAAAGTCACAGACACTCAACACCAGCCCATGAAGGCAGCCAGCAGGGAGGCTGTACCCTGCAAAGCTACAGGGGCAAAGCTGCACAAGACTATGGGAACCTACGTCTTGCATCAGCCTGACCTGGATGTGAGTCATGGAGTCAAAGGAGATCATTTTGGAGCTTTAAGAGTTGACTGCCTTGCTGGATTTCAGATTTGTGTGGGGCCTGTAGCCCCTTTGTTTAGGCCAATTTCTCTAATTTGAAATGACTATATTTACCCAATGCCTGTACCACCATTGTATCCAGGAAGTAACTAACTTTCTTTTGATTTTACAGGCTCATAGGTGGAAGGGAATTGCCTTGTCTTGGATGAGACTTTGGATTGTGGACTTTGAGTTAATGCTGACATGAGTTGAGACTTTGGGGGACTGTTGGGAAGGCATGACTCATTGTGAAATGTGAAGATATGAGATTTGGGAGTATGTTTTGGCTCTGTGTCCCCACCCAAATCTCATCTTGTATCTACCATAATTCCCATGTGTTGTGAGAGAGACCCAGTGGGAGATTACTGAATCATGGGGCAGGTCTTTCCCATGTTGTTCTTATGATAGTGAATGAGTCTCATGAGATCTGATGGTTTTAAAAATGGGAGTTTCAGCCAGGCATGGTGGCTCATGCCTGTAATCCCAGCACTATGGGAGGCTGAGGTGGGTGGATCATGAGGTCAGGAGATCGAGACCATCTTGGCTAACACGGTGAAACTCCGTCTCTACTAAAAATACAAAAATTAGCCAGGCGTGGTGGTGGGCACCTGTAATCCCAGCTACTTGGGAGGCTGAAGCAGGAGAATCACTTGAACCCAGGAGGCGGAGGTTGCAGTGAGCTGAGATCACACCACTGCACTCTAGCCTGGGCAACAGAGCAAGACTTCATCTACCAAAAAAAAATAAATAAATAAAGTGAGTTATCTGCACAAGCTCTCTCTTTTTGCTTGCTGCCATCCACATAAAATATGACTTGCTCCTCTTTGCCTTTCATGATGATTGTGAGGCCTCCCCAGCCATGTGGAACTGTAAGTCTAATAAACCTCTTCTTTTGTAAATTGCCCAGTCTCTGGTATGTCTTTATCAGCAGCATGAAAATGGACTACTACAGTGTTAAATGCAAGAGCCAATGGATAAAGGTCAAGTGTCCAATGGATACAGTTCCTAGATATAAGTCTTAGGGATGCAGGGATAGGGCTTCAAATAACAAATGTGGTTTAAAAATGTGCCTTGGTCCTGTATAAGGCAAAGAGTTGAAAGTGAATTTCTTGCAAAGCAGGAAACTGTGAACTGACACTGCTCCATGAAAATGACAGTAGAATCGTTTTACCTACCAACCCAGAAAGCAGCAAGAAAACTTACTGTGTGCCTATAACTCAGTGGCAATAAAAAGAATCCCATGGAAGGTAAAACACCATGGTTACACCTGTACTTGGGTAAGAAGCCCAAATTTATGCCATCCACATAGTGTTAAAATCCAAAACCCAGGATTTAACATAAAAACTGATGAATCTAGACTTTGGCAAAAACAAACCCAAAATTACTCTGCAGAGACACTATTTCTATTCAGGCTATAGGGGATGCTCACAGAATGAATGCATACACTGAAAATGAGCTTGTAATCAAAATTCATGAACTATTCAAAGGAAGAATGCACCATAATAAAGAGTAATCAGACAGAACAAACAGGACAATTAGGAATCAAAGAACCTGAGATACTAGATAAATCCAAAGATAAAAATTTTTTAAAGCATTTAAGAGAAGCAATGAAAAATGTAATAAGAGAATAAGGCACCAGAATAAAAAATATAGATTTTAAAATATAATATTGAGGTTAAAATTTTGACAAGTCAAACAATGGCTAGACACAGCTAGAGGAAGAAATGGTAAAGTGAAGGAAACATATGAGGAAATTACTCAGAATATAGCACTAATAAAAAGGAAATGAAAAACACAGAAAAACAATTAAGAGATAAGGAGTTTGGAATGCAAAGGTTCAACATAAAACTGATATGAGTTCCAGTGAAAGAGAATAAAGACTGGGGAGAAGCAAGAGTAAATGACTAAAAGAAACTCAATTGAAAAAAGCAGAAGACTCACAGAGAGAGAATAAATCTCTACCTAAACACATCAAAGTAAAATTAAAAATTATCTAAGGCAAAAAGAAAATATTAAAAGAAACCAAAGAGAAAAAAATCCTCAAAGTAAAATAATTAGACTAACCAGAAACTCTTGATAAATAGTAAGAGGCCAAATATATTACTCATTCAAAGTATTGGAGGAAAACAGTCAATCAAAATTAGAAACCCAGCTAAAATAGCATGGAGGACTAAAGGAAAAAATAAATATATTTTCAGAAAAACAAAGAGTGAGATAGTTTACCACCAGTGACTGTTATTGAAAAAATTATGAAAGGATATGTGTCATGAAGAAAAAGCTAACCACAGAAGAGAAGAGTAGTGTACAAAAAGCAATAGCTGGCAAAAAAAAAAAAAAAAGAGAGAAAATATTTCGGTAAATCTAAATAAACATTGAAATATAAAGACAATGGCCATGTGCAGTGGCTTGTGCCTGTCATCCCAGCACTTTGGGAGGCCAAGGCAGGAGTATCACTTGACCCCAGGAGTTCAAGACTGGCCTGGGCAACATAGTGTGACCCCATCTCTATAAAAAATTTTCTTAATTAACCAGGCATGGTGGCACATGCATGTAGTCTCAGCTACTCCAGAAGCTGAAGTGGAGGATCACTTGAGCCAAGGAGGTCAAGGCTGAAGTGAGGTATGATTATACCACTGTACTCCACAGCAGGCAATAGAGCAAGACCCTGTCTAAAAAAAAAAGAAGGAAATATAAAGACAGTAACAAAATAATAATATCCCCATGCATGGGATTTTTTGGCCCTGAGCAAACCTCTTATTTCTCTCACATGTATGGAAACTCCCAATTTAAGCAAATTCAAATTTCCTTACCTTCTCTGCTTGTTAGCATTGTTTCATGTTTGGCTCCTGAACACTTACTCTTTGCAAAGCTGAATTGAAATAGTAACACTTGTGGCAGTCTCTTGTGTCTAGTATTCCACCTATCCCTTACTAACATGAGACTGCCCTGAGTGAAAGATGGAGAGGGGATCATTAATACTTATTCCCAGTTTTACTTGCTTCTTTGAACAGGCCCAACAACCTAGGAATGGTGGTGATGCTTAAGAAAACAAGCTAGGCTACATCATCTAAATGAAGGACTAAGACAGTTCTCTTATATTCAACATTGTACCAGATGCCTAGCTAAAATAATGAGAAAGAAAAAAAGGTGTAAGGACAAAAAGGAAGAAAAAAAATTTCACAATTTTTCTTCTAGAAAATCTGCAGAATATTAAAACTAATAAGAGAGTTCAGCCAACTTTTAAAAAATAAGATTAATAATGAAAATCAATGTCTACTTATGAGTAAAAGAATATTTTAAAATACGATTTTCAAAAGTTCCCCCTTTTTTTTGAGACAGGTTCTCTGTCACCCAGGCTGACGAGCAATGGCACAATCTTGGCTCATTGCAGCCTCAACCTCCTGGGCTAAAACAATCCTTCCACCTCAGCTTCCCAAGTAGCTGTGACTGCAGGTGTGCACCCCGACGCCTGGCTATTTTTTTTTATTTTTTTTTATTTTTTATTTTTGAGACGGAGTCTTGCTCCATCGCCAGGTTGGAGTGCAATGGCGCAATCTCGGCTCACTGCAACCTCCACCTCCCACGTTCAAGTGATTCTCCTGCTTTAGCCTCCCGAGTAGCTGAGACTATAGGCACCTGCCACCACACCTGGCTAATTTTTTTGTATTTTTAGTAGAAACGGGGTTTCACCATGTTGGCCAGGATGGTCTCCATCTTTTGACCTCGTGATCCACCCGCCTCCACCTCCCAAAGTGCTGGGATTACAGGCATGAGCCACCACGCCCGGCCACACATGGCTAATTTTTTAAATTTTTTTGTAGATACAGGGTCTCACTATGTTTCCCAAGTTGGTCTCAAACTCCTGGGTTAAAGAGATCCCCCCACCTCAGCCTCCCAAAGCGCTGGGATTACAGGCATGAGCCACCACACCAGCCCCAAAAGTTACCATTTTTATTAGCTATAAAAACTATAGGGCGGGAGGAGCCAAGATGGCCGAATAGGAACAGCTCCGGTCTACAGCTCCCAGCGTGAGCGACGCAGAAGATGGGTGATTTCTGCATTTCCATCTGAGGTACCGGGTTCATCTCACTAGGGAGTGCCAGACAGCGGGCGCAGGCCAGTGTGTGTGCGCACCGTGCGCGAGCCGAAGCAGGGCGAGGCATTGCCTCACCTGGGAAGCGCAAGGGGTCAGGGAGTTCCCTTTCCGAGCCAAAGAAAGGGGTGACGGACGCACCTGGAAAATCGGGTCACTCCCACCCGAATATTGCGCTTTTCAGACCGGCTTAAGAAACGGCGCACCACGAGACTATATCCCACACCTGGCTCAGAGGGTCCTACGCCCACGGAATCTTGCTGATTGCTAGCACAGCAGTCTGAGATCAAACTGCAAGGCAGCAACGAGGCTCGGGGAGGGGCACCCGCCATTGCCCAGGCTTGCTTAGGTAAACAAAGCAGCTGGGAAGCTCGAACTGGGTGGAGCCCACCACAGCTCAAGGAGGCCTGCCTGCCTCTGTAGGCTCCACCTCTGGGGGCAGGGCACAGACAAACAAAAAGACAGCAGTAACCTCTGCAGACTTAAGTGTCCCTGTCTGACAGCTTTGAAGAGAGCAGTGGTTCTCCCAGCACGCAGCTGGAGATCTGAGAACGGGCAGACTGCCTCCTCAAGTGGGTCCCTGACCCCTGACCCCCGAGCAGCCTAACCGGGAGGCACCCCCCAGCAGGGGCACACTGACACCTCACACGGCAGGGTATTCCAACAGACCTGCAGCTGAGGGTCCTGTCTGTTAGAAGGAAAACTAACAACCAGAAAGGACATCTACACCGAAAACCCATCTGTACATCACCATCATCAAAGACCAAAAGTAGATAAAACCACAAAGATGGGGAAAAAACAGAACAGAAAAACTGGAAACTCTAAAACGCAGAGCGCCTCTCCTCCTCCAAAGGAACGCAGTTCCTCACCAGCAACAGAACAAAGCTGGATGGAGAATGATTTTGACGAGCTGACAGAAGAAGGCTTCAGACGATCAAATTACTCTGAGCTACGGGAGGACATTCAAACCAAAGGCAAAGAAGTTGAAAACTTTGAAAAAAATTTAGACGAATGTATAACTAGAATAACCAATACAGAGAAGTGCTTAAAGGAGCTGATGGAGCTGAAAACCAAGGCTCGAGAACTACGTGAAGAATGCAGAAGCCTCAGGAGCCAATGCGATCAACTGGAAGAAAGGGTATCAGCAATGGAAGATGAAATGAATGAAATGAAGCGAGAAGGGAAGTTTAGAGAAAAAAGAATAAAAAGAAATGAGCAAAGCCTCCAAGAAATATGGGACTATGTGAAAAGACCAAATCTACGTCTGATTGGTGTACCTGAAAGTGATGTGGAGAATGGAACCAAGTTGGAAAACACTCTGCAGGATATTATCCAGGAGAACTTCCCCAATCTAGCAAGGCAGGCCAACGTTCAGATTCAGGAAATACAGAGAACACCACAAAGATACTCCTCGAGAAGAGCAACTCCAAGACACATAATTGTCAGATTCACCAAAGTTGAAATGAAGGAAAAAATGTTAAGGGCAGCCAGAGAGAAAGGTCGGGTTACCCTCAAAGGAAAGCCCATCAGACTAACAGCGGATCTCTCGGCAGAAACCCTACAAGCCAGAAGAGAGTGGGAGCCAATATTCAACATTCTTAAAGAAAAGAATTTTCAACCCAGAATTTCATATCCAGCCAAACTAAGCTTCATAAGTGAAGGAGAAATAAAATACTTCACAGACAAGCAAATGCTGAGAGATTTTGTCACCACCAGGCCTGCCCTAAAAGAGCTCCTGAAGGAAGCGCTAAACATGGAAAGGAACAACCGGTACCAGCCGCTGCAAAATCATGCCAAAATGTAAAGACCATCGAGACTAGGAAGAAACTGCATCAACTAATGAGCAAAATCACCAGCTAACATCATAATGACAGGATCAAATTCACACATAACAATATTAACTTTAAATATAAATGGACTAAATTCTGCAATTAAAAGACACAGACTGGCAAGTTGGATAAAGAGTCAAGACCCATCAGTGTGCTGTATTCAGGAAACCCATCTCACGTGCAGAGACACACATAGGCTCAAAATAAAAGGATGGAGGAAGATCTACCAAGCCAATGGAAAACAAAAAAAGGCAGGGGTTGCAATCCTAGTCTCTGATAAAACAGACTTCAAACCAACAAAGATCAAAAGAGACAAAGAAGGCCATTACATAATGGTAAAGGGATCAATTCAACAAGAGGAGCTAACTATCCTAAATATTTATGCACCCAATACAGGAGCACCCAGATTCATAAAGCAAGTCCTCAGTGACCTACAAAGAGACTTAGACTCCCACACATTAATAATGGGAGACTTTAACACCCCACTGTCAACATTAGACAGATCAACGAGACAGAAAGTCAACAAGGATACCCAGGAATTGAACTCAGCTCTGCACCAAGCAGACCTAATAGACATCTACAGAACTCTCCACCCCAAATCAACAGAATATACATTTTTTTCAGCACCACACCACACCTATTCCAAAATTGACCACATAGTTGGAAGTAAAGCTCTCCTCAGCAAATGTAAAAGAACAGAAATTATAACAAACTATCTCTCAGACCACAGTGCAATCAAACTAGAACTCAGGATTAAGAATCTTACTCAAAGCCGCTCAACTACATGGAAACTGAACAACCTGCTCCTGAATGACGACTGGGTACATAACGAAATGAAGGCAGAAATAAAGATGTTTTTTGAAACCAACGAGAACAAAGACACCACATACCAGAATCTCTGGGACGCATTCAAAGCAGTGTGTAGAGGGAAATTTATAGCACTAAATGCCTACAAGAGAAAGCAGGAAAGATCCAAAATTGACACCCTAACATCACAATTAAAAGAACTAGAAAAGCAAGAGCAAACACATTCAAAAGCTAGCAGAAGGCAAGAAATAACTAAAATCAGAGCAGAACTGAAGGAAATAGAGACACAAAAAACCCTTCAAAAAATCAATGAATCCAGGAGCTAGTTTTTTGAAAGGATCAACAAAATTGATAGACCGCTAGCAAGACTAATAAAGAAAAAAAGAGAGAAGAATCAAATAGACACAATAAAAAATGATAAAGGGGATATCACCACCGATCCCACAGAAATACAAACTACCATCAGAGAATACTACAAACACCTCTACGCAAATAAACTAGAAAATCTAGAAGAAATGGATAAATTCCTCGACACATACACTCTCCCAAGACTAAACCAGGAAGAAGTTGAATCTCTGAATAGACCAATAACAGGCTCTGAAATTGTGGCAATAATCAATAGTTTACCAACCAAAAAGAGTCCAGGACCAGAAGGATTCACAGCCGAATTCTACCAGAGGTACAAGGAGGAACTGGTACCATTCCTTCTGAAACTATTCCAATCAATAGAAAAAGAGGGAATCCTCCCTAACTCATTTTATGAGGCCAGCATCATTCTGATACCAAAGCCGGGCAGAGACACAACCAAAAAAGAGAATTTTAGACCAATATCCTTGATGAACATTGATGCAAAAATCCTCAATAAAATACTGGCAAACCGAATCCAGCAGCACATCAAAAAGCTTATCCACCATGATCAAGTGGGCTTCATCCCTGGGATGCAGGGCTGGTTCAATATACGCAAATCAATAAATGTAATCCAGCATATAAACAGAGCCAAAGACAAAAACCACATGATTATCTCAATAGATGCAGAAAAAGCCTTTGACAAAATTCAACAACCCTTCATGCTAAAAACTCTCAATAAATTAGGTATTGCTGGGACGTATTTCAAAATAATAAGAGCTATCTATGACAAACCCACAGCCAATATCATACTGAATGGGCAAAAACTGGAAGCATTCCCTTTGAAAACTGGCACAAGACAGGGATGCCCTCTCTCACCGCTCCTATTCAACATAGTGTTGGAAGTTCTGGCCAGGGCAATCAGGCAGGAGAAGGAAATAAAGGGTATTCAATTAGGAAAAGAGGAAGTCAAACTGTCCCTGTTTGCAGACGACATGATTGTTTATCTAGAAAACCCCATCGTCTCAGCCCAAAATCTCCTTAAGCTGATAAGCAACTTCAGCAAAGTCTCAGGATACAAAATCAGTGTACAAAAATCACAAGCATTCTTATACACCAACAACAGACAAACAGAGAGCCAAATCATGGGTGAACTCCCATTCACAATTGCTTCAAAGAGAATAAAATACCTAGGAATCCAACTTACAAGGGATGTGAAGGACCTCTTCAAGGAGAACTACAAACCACTGCTCAAGGAAATAAAAGAGGACACAAACAAATGGAAGAACATTCCATGCTCATGGGTAGGAAGAATCAATAGCGTGAAAATGGCCATACTGCCCAAGGTAATTTACAGATTCAATGCCATCCCCATCAAGCTACCAATGACTTTCTTCACAGAATTGGAAAAAAGTACTTTAAAGTTCATATGGAACCAAAAAAGAGCCCGCATTGCCAAGTCAATCCTAAGCCAAAAGAACAAAGCTGGAGGCATCACACTACCTGACTTCAAACTATACTACAAGGCTACAGTAACCAAAACAGCATGGTACTGGTACCAAAACAGAGATATAGATCAATGGGACAGAACAGAGCCCTCAGAAATAATGCCGCATATCTACAACTATCTGATCTTTGACAAACCTGAGAAAAACAAGCAATGGGGAAAGGATTCCCTATTTAATAAATGGTGCTGGGAAAACTGGCTAGCCATATGTAGAAAGCTGAAACTGGATCCCTTCCTTACACATTATACAAAAATCAATTCAAGATGGATTAAAGATTTAAACGTTAAACCTAAAACCATAAAAACCCTAGAAGAAAACCTAGGCATTACCATTCAGGACATAGGCGTGGGCAAGGACTTCATGTCCAAAACACCAAAAGCAATGGCAACAAAAGACAAAATTGACAAATGGGATCTAATTAAACTAAAGAGCTTCTGCACAGCAAAAGAAACTACCATCAGAGTGAACAGGCAACCTACAACATGGGAGAAAATTTTCGCAACCTACTCATCTGACAAAGGGCTAATATCCAGAATCTACAATGAACTCAAACAAATTTACAAGAAAAAAACAAACAACCCCATCAAAAAGTGGGCGAAGGACATGAACAGACACTTCTCAAAAGAAGACATTTATGCAGCCAAAAAACACATGAAGAAATGCTCATCATCACTGGCCATCAGAGAAATGCAAATCAAAACCACTATGAGATATCATCTCACACCAGTTAGAATGGCAATCATTAAAAAGTCAGGAAACAACAGGTGCTGGAGAGGATGTGGAGAAATAGGAACACTTTTACACTGTTGGTGGGACTGTAAACTAGTTCATCCATTGTGGAAGTCAGTGTGGCGATTCCTCAGGGATCTAGAACTAGAAATACCATTTGACCCAGCCATCCCATTACTGGGTATATACCCAAATGAGTATAAATCATGCTGCTATAAAGACACATGCACACGTATGTTTATTGCGGCACTATTCACAATAGCAAAGACTTGGAACCAACCCAAATGTCCAACAATGATAGACTGGATTAAGAAACTGTGGCACATATACACCATGGAATACTATGCAGCCATAAAAAATGATGAGTTCATATCCTTTGTAGGGACATGGATGAAAATGGAAACCATCATTCTCAGTAAACTATCGCAAGAACAAAAAACCAAACACCGCATATTCTCACTCATAGGTGGGAACTGAACAATGAGATCACATGGACACAGGAAGGGGAATATCACACTCTGGGGACTGTGGTGGGGTCGGGGGAGGGGGGAGGGACAGCATTGGGAGATATACCTAATGCTAGATGACACATTAGTGGGTGCAGCGCACCAGCATGGCACATGTATACATATGTAACTAACCTGCACAATGTGCACATGTACCCTAAAACTTAGAGTATAATAAAAAAAAAAAAAAAGAAAAGAAAAAAAAAACTATAAGGTACCTAGTAGTAAATTTAGCAAAGATGTGCAAGAACTCTAATGACAATATTAAAATTTTGTCAAAGACATAAAACAGACCTAAAATAAATAGGGAGATAAATCTCGTCTAATACCAAACAGTTTTCTGTGGACCTTAACAAGTGGATATTCAAAGTTAAATGAAAAAATAAAACACCAAGAATAGCCAAGATATTTTTGAAAGTGAAATTGGATGGCTAGTTCTACAAGCTATCAAGACTTATTATAAAATTATAATAATTAAAACTGGGTGATATTCATGCAGAGAAAGACAAATAGACCAATGAACAGAAGAGAGAACTCAGAAACAGGCCCATCTATACTTTGGGTCATTTGGTATACAACAGGGACAGCATTTCAAGTCAGTAGGTAAATAATGGAATATTCAGCAAATGGTACTGGGGAAATATGCTCCTGATATGAATAAAAATAAATTCAATTTTTACTTACATGACATTAAAAAATTTCCAAGTGAACTAAAGACCTAAGTGTCAAAAAAAAAACTTTATAACTTTTAGAAATAAATATAGGAAATCTTTTTAATAAATTCAGTGTGAGGAATAATTTCCTAGACAAGATGCATAAGCACAAACTATAAAAAATGATGAATACATTTGACTAATTTAGAATTAAATACTTCTGTCAAATATAAGACTTGTCTTTTAAGTGATAATACAAGCAATTCTGGTAGAAGATACATATAATATGTATATATATAAAATATATATATTATATAATATATATTTTTAATATATTTTATATATATTTTATATATAATAATTTTATATATATTTGATATATATTATATATAATATAATTTTTATATGTTATATAATATATATATAAATCACCATGCATTACTATTCAAATTCCAGAAAGAATTCCTATAGATCAATTAAAAATGAAACAAAAACAATAAAATATAAAAATGGCAAAGCATATAAACAATTTAGACACTAAGATATCCAAATGCTCAATGAATACATGAAATGCTCACTGTTCTAACTAGTAATTGGTGATACAAAAATTTTTTAAAATTCAAGTTTTTCACAAACATGAGAAAACGGGAATTCTCAGTATTCTCAGTTTGGAAATACAAATCAGCACAATCCCTTTAGAATATAATTTGCCAATATCTAGGATATTTTAAAATGTGCTTAGCCTACCACCCAGCAATTTCCTGCACAAGTATTTCCCTAGAGAAACTTTCTTATGTATGCGCAAGAAAACATATACAAAAAATGTTTATAGCAGCAGAAGACTAAAAGCAATTTAAAATTAGATGAATAAATTATGAGATGTTATATAATACTATACGACAGTAAACATGAATGAATTATAGCTACCTATATCCTCTAGGTCCATCCCAAAAAAACTGATGTTAAGTGAAAAAAAACAAATTAAATATTAAGTATGTTACAACACTGTCTAGGTAAAGTTTAAAAACGTGAAACATTCAATAGCATACTTTATATACAAATTTATGATAACACTGTCAATAGACAAGTTAGAAAACTAGTTTTCCAGTTTATTACTGATTTATTTTGGTAAATACAATTTCTGTTTCATGAAGAATAGAGGGTTTTGAGTTTATTACTGATTTATGAAAATTTCATACCAAATTCTTACTACCAAGTTGGTTTAAGCAAATGATTCATTAAAAAGTATGTTATCTTAAAAGACGATGATAGCAAACCAAAAATTGCTATTATCACTTACCTTCATTTAAATAATTTTGAAAATCTTCCAACTATTTTAACACCCCAAATTAAAATGAAGTTTCTGATTTATCCAATGATTTCTATATTTTGTATAACTCTAAATCAACTCTATGAAAGAAAATGAATTTGCAATTTTAACATTGTAATAGCATAACTTTGATAGAAGCAGATATTCTTTAAAGATTTTTAGCATTTATTCCATGAATAAACATGCCAGCATTTCTGCTGAACTGAAAAAACTTTATTTCCAAAGCCGTAAATAAATCCAAAGCTTACAGCTAACTGATGAGAAAAATAACAGTTCATAGCTTTTTTAAAAAAAAGGTCTGAAATGTAAGCTTTACTAATTGTAGTTTCCTTGGAAGCATAGATGTCTATATTAAATCTTGTCACATTTTAATCTACATTTAATTATCATAGATCAGTCTTTAAATGCCTACTGATGAGAAAGAAAATCACACAGCATATGGTAACCAAAAGCACAGAAAACGTTGCAAGGCATGTCTTCTTTTGCCTTCGTGGTAAAACTAATCAATATTCTCATGCAGTCTCCCGAAATAGATAAACTCATGACACGATAAAACCATCCCTTCACTAATCGTTAACAGTTACAGGTTGCATGAAGCTGTTGTTTTCTTTGGGCATCACATTCCAGTAGCAAAACTCCTGAGATGCTTATATTGCTGCATGAGAATCTCATGAGACTACTGCCTCCCATAACATACAGAGTGATGGTTCAGCTCCTCCTCACAAATCATTAGAGTCTGTGGTTTAGTGCTGCATCAGACACATCAATCACTGTGCCTACCACACCTTCCAAGGAAACTGCTGTGTGCACAGCTCCAGATAAAGAAATTAGCCATAGATTCTCCTTCTGCAGGGAAAGCTATATTCTGCATCATGCAGCCCACCTCCCCTATCTCTCCCATGGGCCACAGCTGATTGGAAAATGGATAGGTATCTGACCCAAGGTAGACCGTCTTTCAGCTTTCCAGTGGACAATAAGTTGACTTGTGAAAAGCTTAGCTGAGTTCATTCAAATCTCACTGTCAATACTGAGAAACATAGTAAGAACTGGATGTCAGCAGTGGGAACTGAAAGCAAAAGAATGTTCAAATAGAAGCTATGAGGTGAAGAAGAGGACATGATGAACTAAATCAGGTTATGAAAAGGAAATCAGAAGTAGGCATAAGATGTTAAAGGGAAGAAGCATAGTGAAGAAACCAGGCTGTAGTTGCAAGATCAGTAGAGACAGAGAGGCTGAGTGACATTCACTACCCAGCACTGGAGCAGAGCTTCCCACCCAACTGCTGTGCCAGCCTTACCAGTTCCACTCCATTCAAGACCCCACCTTCCCGCGTTGTATATCATACACTAGGTGTCCATCCTTCTTACGGATATCCTTTAAAATAACCCCCTTTTACTTGAGCTAGACTGAATGAGTTAGGAATAGAGGTGGTTGTCATTTTTACTACATTTTAAAGAGCAACAAGCATTGCAAAATTAATGAAAACTGCATTACAGTCTCACAGTTACCTCCTATTTAAACTCATTTTGCTTACAGGATCTCCAATGTACCTTTATAATAAATATTCATGTTTACCACTACTTTTCTGGATAAACCACCCACTTACACCAAGTGGAAAATACAAATGTAAGCAAGAAATTTGAGAAGTTAGTATAATATTTATAATATTCTCATTCCTACCTCATCATTGATACATGATTTGGATTTTTATCTAGGCAGGCTACTTTAAAGGAAAGCAGACAATAGAGAGTAAGAATGCAAAAGAATGCAACACTATTTTTTTTTTTAGTACAAGACTTTTAGCCATGCCAATCATAAATTTTAAAAAGAGAAGCACTCAGGTCTTATTTTTGAACTAATTATTTTCCATTTGTTATATCTGAACCACTCATGAGTTTAACATAGCAATGCCAAGCAGAAAAAAAAAGACTCAATTTTTTTGAAGTATAATTGCACTTAGAGAAAACATAACAAAAAGGAAATTGAATACAAATTTCCCCACAAGTGGTACTGAATTCCCCAAGGGAATTATTTATAGTTGGGTTCAGAATCACATATTTGATTTTTATAGTAAAAAAAAAAAAAAAAAGAACTAATACCTAGTTTTCACTAGGAACTTCTGTTTTTTATGCTTCAAATATCAGAGTCAATGACCCTGAGTGAAAAGAAAAAAAATTCCTTTTTCTGAGGTACACACAATGGTCATTTTGGGTTATTATTTCTATCTAAGTCTGTAGTACCTAACATGCTTTATATATAAAACTTCAAACCCTTCTTATGTTTCCATAGTCCTTATGATTACTCACAAAACTATTAATTGGCTGTAAATGAATTCTTACATTAAATTTCCTTTTTCCTCCTATCTTCTAATATACAGCTTTGAGAAGAATTTTCCATTATTTTCTCTATTAACTCATAAAATTCTCCTGAGCAATGGTAGCAACTGATAAAGTATTTATAATCATAAAACCACAGTACATTAGACTTAAACAGCAACAGAATGTTGGAATTTTAAAATGATGTTGTTTTCCCGTCACTCAAACTTCTGTACACTTTATATTCTTGACATTCAGCTTTTTCTTTACTACATGTAAATCAAGCATAAGCAAGACTTTATTTAAAAGTGTCACTTTTTCAGCCAAAATATAAAAAAGAAATGGATAGGCGTGTTCAAATTTTTTTTCAGTTCATTCATCCATTTATGCTATATTTTTAAATTTTTGGTGTGTCTTTTTCAATTGATATAAATAGACGTACATATTTTCAGGGTACGTGATAATTTTTATACATTCATGTAATCAAATTAGGGTAATCAGATTTACCCATCACCTTAAATACTTATCTTTTTTAATGCTAAGAACATGTGAACTACTCTCTTCTCACTAGTTTTAAATTTATAATAGATTAATGTTATCTATAGTCATCCTACAGGTCTATAAAGCATCACGTTTTCTTTCTTCCATCTAACTGTATATTTGTACCCATCAGTCAACTTCTCTTCATCCCTCCCTCCCCTCTACCCTTCCTGGCCTCTGATAACTACCACTCTACTCTCTGTGATATCTACTTATTTAACTGCCACATATGAGTGAGCACATGCAACACTTATCTTTCTGTGCTTGACTTAATTCACTCACTGTAATGACCTTCAGTTCCATGCACGTTGGTGCAAATGACAAGATTTTATTCTTTACATGGCTGAATAATATTCAATTTTGTATATATACCAATTTTTTCTCCAACTTTTAAGTTCAGGGGTACATGTGCAGGATGTGCAGGTTGGTTACATAGGTAAACGTGTGCCATGGTGGTTTGCTGCACAGATCATCCCATCACTCAGGTATTAGGCCCAGCATCCACTATCTATTCTTCCTGGTTCTCTCCCTCCTCCCACGCCCTGACCTCTGACAGCCCCCAGTGTGTGTTGTTTCCCCCATGTGTCCATGTGTTCTCATCATTTAGCTCCCACTTATAAGTGAGAATATGCAGTATATACTACATTTCTTTATCTGTGTATCCATTGATGGGCATTTAGGTTAATTCCATATTTCAGCTATTGTGAACAGCGTTGCAATAAACATGGGAGTGCAGATGTCTCTCTAATATATTTATTTCCTTTTTTTGGATATATAACCAGTAGTGGGATTGCTAAATCATATGGAAGTTCTATTTTTAGTTTTTTGAGGAAACTTCATACTGTTTTGTATAGTGGCTGTACTAATTTACATTTTTATCAGCAGTATATGAGGGTGAAGTATTTGTAATCATAAAACCAACAGTATATGTGATGAAGTATTTGTAATCATAAAACCACAGTAAATTAGACTTAAACGCTTCCTCACCAGTGTCCCTTCTTCCCTGTCTTTTCAATAAAAGCTATTCTAACTGGGTTGAGATGGTATTTCATTGTGATTTTTATTTGCATTTATCTCTTTAGCAAAGAGCCCGGCTGTAATGTGATGTTTATCTTTTATTGATTTGCCTATGTTCAAACATCCTTGCTTCTCTGGGATGAATCCCACTTGATCATGGTGAATGATGATTTTAATGTGTCATTCAGTTAGGTTTACTTGTATTCTGGTTTTTTTTTTTTTGGCCTCTTTTTTTAAATTTTATTATTATTATACTTTAAGTTTTAGGGTACACGTGCACAATGTGCACGTTAGTTACATATGTATACATGTGCCATGCTGGTGTGCTGCACCCATTAACTCATCATTTAGCATTAGGTATATCTCCTAATGCTATCCCTGCCCCCTCCCCACAACAGTCCCCAGAGTGTGACGTTCCCCTTCCTGTGTCCCTGTGTTCTCATTGTTCAATTCCGACCTATGAGTGAGAATATGTGGTGTTTGGTTTTTTGTTCTTGCGATAGTTTACTGAGAATGATGATTTCCAATTTCATCCATGTCCCTACAAAGGACATGAACTCATCATTTTTTATGGCTGCATAGTATTCCATGGTGTATATGTGCCACAGTTTCTTAATCCAGTCTATCATTGTTGGACATTTGGGTTGGTTCCAAGTCTTTGCTATTGTGAATACTGCTGCAATAAATATACGTGTGCATGTGTCTTTACAGCAGCATGATTTATAGTCCTTTGGGTATATACCCAGTAATGGGATGGCTGGGTCAAATGGTATTTCTAGTTCTAGATCCCTGAGGAATCGCCACACTGACTTCCACAATGGTTGAACTAGTTTACAGTCCCACCAACAGTGTAAAAGTGTTCCTATTTCTCCACATCCTCTCCAGCACCTGTTGTTTCCTGACTTTTTAATGATTGCCATTCTAACTGGTATGACATAGTATCTCATTGTGGTTTTGATTTGCATTTCTCTGATGGCCAGTGATGGTGAGCATTTTTTTCATGTGTTTTTTGGCTGCATAAATGTCTTCTTTTGAGAAGTGTCTGTTTATGTCCTTCGCCCAGTTTTTGATGGGGTTCTTTTTTTCTTGCAAATTTGTTTGAGTTCATTGTAGATTCTGGATATTAGCCCTTTGTCAGATGAGTAGGTTGCGAAAATTTTCTCCCATATTGTAGGTTGCCTGTTCACTCTGATGGTAGTTTCTTTTGCTGTGCAGAAGCTCTTTAGTTTAATTAGATCCCATTTGTCAATTTTGGCTTTTGTTGCCATTGCTTTTGGTGTTTTAGACATGAAGTCCTTGCCCATGCCTATGTCCTGAATGGTAATGCCTAGGTTTTCTTCTAGGGTTTTTATGGTTTTAGGTCTAACATTTAAGTCTTTAAGCCATCTTGAATTAATTTTTGTATAAGGTGTAAGGAAGGGATCCAGTTTCAGCTTTCTACATATAGCTAGCCAGTTTTCCCAGTACCATTTATTAAATAGGGAATCCTTTCCCCATTGCTTGTTTTTGTCAGGTTTGTCAAAGATCAGATAGTTGTAGACATGCAGCGTTATTTCTGAGGGCTCTGTTCTGTTCCATTGATCTATATCTCTGTTTTGGTACCAGTACCATGCTGTTTTGGTTACTGTAGCCTTGTAGTATAGTTTGAAGTCAGGTAGTGTGATGCCTCCAGCTTTGTTCTTTTGGCTTAGGATTGACTTGGCGATGCGGGCTCTTTTTTGGTTCCATATGAACTTTAAAGTACTTTTTTCCAATTCTGTGAAGAAAGTCATTGGTAGCTTGATGGGGATGGCATTGAATCTATAAATTACCTTGGGCAGTATGGCCATTTTCATGATATTGATTCTTCCTACCCAGGACCATGGAATATTCTTCCATTTCTTTGTATCCTCCTTTATTTCATTCAGCAGTGGTATGTAGTTCTCCTTGAAGAGGTCCTTCACATCCCTTGTAAGTTGGATTCCTAGGTATTTTATTCTCTTTGAAGCAATTGTGAATGGGAGTTCACTCATGATTTGACTCTCTGTTTGTCTGTTATTGGTGTACAAGAATGCTTGTGATTTTTGTACATTGATTTTGTATCCTGAGACTTTGCTGAAGTTGCCTATCAGCTTAAGGAGATTTTGGGCTGAGACAATGGGGTTTTCTAGATATACAATCATGTCATCTGCAAACAGGGACAATTTGACTTCCTCTTTTCCTAATTGAATACCCTTTATTTCCTTCTCCTGCCTAATGGCCCTGGCCAGAACCTCCAACACTATGTTGAATAGGAGTGGTGAGAGAGGGCATCCCTGTCTTGTGCCAGTTTTCAAAGGGAATGCTTCCAGTTTTTGCACATTTAGTATGATATTGACTGTGGGTTTGTCATAGATAGCTCTTATTATTTTGAGATACTTCCCATCAATACCTAATTTATTGAGAGTTTTTAGCAGGAAGTGATGTTGAATTTTGTCAAAGGCCTTTTCTGCATCTATTGAGATAATCATGTGGTTTTTGTCTTTGGCTCTGTTTATACCCTGGATTACATTTATTGATTTGCGTATATTGAACCAGACTTGCATCCCAGGGATGAAGCCCACTTGATCATGGTGGATAAGCTTTTTGATGTGCTGCTGGATTCGGTTTGCCAGTATTTTACTGAGGATTTTTGCATCAATGTTCATCAAGGATATTGGTCTAAAATTCTCTTTTTTGGTTGTGTCTCTGCCCGGCTTTGGGATCAGGATGATGCTGGCCTCATAAAATGAGTTAGGGAGGATTCCCTCTTTTTCTATTGATTGGAATAGTTTCAGAAGGAATGGTACCAGTTCCTCCTTGTACCTCTGGTAGAATTCGGCTGTGAATCCATCTGGTCCTGGACTGTTTTTGGTTGGTAAGCTATTGATTATTGCCACAATTTCAGAGCCTGTTATTGGTCTATTCAGAGATTCACCTTCTTCCTGGTTTAGTCTTGGGAGGGTGTATGTGTCAAGGAATTTATCCATTTCTTCTAGATTTTCTAGTTTATTTGCGTAGAGGTGTTTGTAGTATTCTCTGATGGTAGTTTGTATTTCTGTGGGATCGGTGGTGATATCCCCTTTATCATTTTTTATTGCGTCTATTTGATTCTTCTCTCTTTTCTTCTTTATTAGTCTTGCTAGCGGTCTATCAATTTTGTTGATCCTTTCAAAAAACCAGCTCCTGGATTCATTAATTTTTGAAGGGTTTTTTGTGTCTCTATTTCCTTCAGTTCTGCTCTGATTTTAGTTATTTCTTGCCTTCTGCTAGCTTTTGAATGTGTTTGCCCTTGCTTTTCTAGTTCTTTTAATTGTGATGTTAGGGGGTCAATTTTGGATCTTTCCTGCTTTCTCTTGTGGGCATTTAGTGCTATAAATTTCCCTTTACACACTGCTTTGAATGTGTCCCAGAGATTCTGGTATGTTGTGTCTTTGTTCTCTTTGGTTTCAAAGAACATCTTTATTTCTGCCTTCATTTCGTTATGTACCCAGTAGTCATTCAGGAGCAGGTTGTTCAGTTTCCATGTAGTTGAGCGGTTTTGAGTGAGTTTCTTAATCCTGAGTTCTAGTTTGATTGCACTGTGGTCTGAGAGACAGTTTGTTATAATGTCTGACCTTTTATATTTGCTGAGGAGAGCTTTACTTCCAACTATGTGGTCAATTTTGGAATAGGTGTGGTGTGGTGCTGAAAAAAATGTATATTCTGTTGATTTGGGGTGGAGAGTTCTGTAGATGTCTATTGGGTCCACTTGGTGCAGAGCTGAGTTCAATTCCTGGGTATCCTTGTTAACTTTCTGTCTCGTTGATCTGTCTAATGTTGACAGTGGGGTGTTAAAGTCTCCCATTATTATTGTGTGGGAGTCTAAGTCTCTTTGTAGGTCACTCAGGACTTGCTTTATGAATCTGGGTGCTCCTGTATTGGGTGCATATATATTTAGGATAGTTAGTTCTTCTTGTTGAATTGATCCCTTTACCATTATGTAATGGCCTTGTCTCTGTTGATCTTTGTTGGTTTAAAGTCTGTTTTATCAGAGACTAGGATTGCAACCCCTGCCTTTTTTTGTTTTCCATTTGCTTGGTAGATCTTCCTCCATCCTTTTATTTTGAGCCTATGTGTGTCTCTGCACGTGAGATGGGTTTCCTGAATACAGCACACTGATGGGTCTTGACTCTTTATCCAATTTGCCAGTCTGTGTCTTTTAATTGGAGCATTTAGTCCATTTACATTTAAAGTTAATATTGTTATGTGTGAATTTGATCCTGTCATTATGATGTTAGCTGGTGATTTTGCTCGTTAGTTGATGCAGTTTCTTCTTAGCCTTGATGGTCTTTACAATTTGGCATGATTTTGCAGTGGCTGGTAGCGGTTGTTCCTTTCCATGTTTAGTGCTTCCTTCAGGAGCTCTTTTAGGGCAGGCCTGGTGGTGACAAAATCTCTCAGCATTTGCTTGTCTGTGAAGTATTTTATTTCTCCTTCACTTATGAAGCTTAGTTTGGCTGGATATGAAATTCTGGGTTGAAAATTCTTTTCTTTAAGAATGTTGAATATTGGCCCCCACTCTCTTCTGGCTTGTAGAGTTTCTGCTGAGAGATCAGCTGTTAATCTGATGGGCTTCCCTTTGTGGGTAACCCGACCTTTCTCTCCGGGTCCCCTTAACATTTTTTCCTTCATTTCAACTTTGGTGAATCTGACAATTATGTGTCTTGGAGTTGCTCTTCTCGAGGAGTGTCTTTGTGGCATTCTCTGTATTTCCTGAATCTGACTGTTGGCCTGCCTTGCTAGATTGGGGAAGTTCTCCTAAATAATATCCTGCAGAGTGTTTTCCAACTTGGTTCCATTCTCCCCATCACTTTCAGGTACACCAATCAGATGTAGATTTGGTCTTTTCACATAGTCCCATATTTCTTGGAGGCTTTGTTCATTTCTTTTTATTCTTTTTTCTCTAAACTTCCCTTCTCGCTTCATTTCATTCATTTCATCTTCCATCATTGATACCCTTTCTTCCAGTTGATCGCATTGGCTCCTGAGGCTTCTGCATTCTTCACGTAGTTCTCGCGCCTTGGCTTTCAGCTCCATCAGCTCCTTTAAGCACTTCTCTGTATTGGTTATTCTAGTTATACATTCGTCTAAATTTTTTTCAAAGTTTTCAACTTCTTTGCCTTTGGTTTGAATTTCCTCCTGTAGCTTGGAGTAGTTTGATCTTCTGAAGCCTTCTTCTCTCAACTCGTCAAAGTCATTCTCCGTCCAGCTTTGTTCAGTTGCTGGTGAGGAGCTGCATTCCTTTGGAGGAGGAGAGCCACTCTGCTTTTTAGAGTTTCCAGTTTTTCTGCTCCGTTTTTTTCCCCATCTTTGTGGTTTTATCAAAGACTTTTGGTCTTTGATGATGGTGATGTACAGACAGGTTTTTGGTGTGGATGTCCTTTCTGTTTGTTAGTTTTCCTTCTAACAGACAGGACCCTCAGCTGCAGGTCTGTTGGAGTTTGCTAGAGGTCCATTCCAGACCCTGTTTGCCTGGGTACCAGCAGCGGTGGCTGCAGAACAGCGGATTTTCATGAACCGCGAATGCTGCTGTCTGAGCGTTCCTCTGGAAGTTTTGTCTCCGAGGAGTACCCGGCCGTGTGAGGTGTCAGTCTGCCCCTACTGGGGGGTGCCTCCCAGTTAGGCTGCTAGGGGGTCAGGGGTCAGGGACCCACTTGAGGAGGCAGTCTGCCCATTCTCAGATATCCAGCTGCGTGCCGGGAGAACCACTGCTCTCCTCAAAGCTGTCAGACAGGGACATTTAAGTCTGCAGAGGTTACTGCTGTCTTTTTGTTTATCTGTGCCCTGCCCCCAGAGGTGGAGCCTACAGAGGCAGGCAGGCCTCCTTGAGCTGTGGTGGGCCCCACCCAGTTCGAGCTTCCCAGCTGCTTTGTTTACCTAAGCAAGCCTGGGCAATGGCAGGCGCCCCTCCCCCAGCCTCGCTTTACTTGTATTCTGTTGAAGATTTTCACATCTATATTCATTAGAGATATTGGCCTGTAGTTTTCTTTTGTTGTGAGCTCATCTGGTTTTGGTATCAGAGTAATACTGTCCTCATAGAAGAAGTTTGGAAGTATTTTCTTGAGTTGAATAGACATGGTTATTGTTTTCATCTGCTTGGTCTGTCATAACAAAGTTTCATAGACTGGGTGGTTTAAACAATAGATATTATTTTCTCAAAGTTCTGAAAACTCGAAATCCAAGAGGAGGGTGCCAGAGCAGTGGATTTCTACTTGAGCAGAATTGGTATTAGTTCTTTAAATGTTTTGTAGAATTCACCAGTAAAGCCATTAGGTCCAGAGCTTTTCTTTGATGGGAGACTTTTCATTACAGTTTCAATCTCATTACTCATTATTGGTCTGTTTAGTTATTCTGTTTCTTCATGGTTTACTCTTGGTAGATTGTTTGGATCCAGGAATTTATACATTTCCTCTAGGTTTTCTAATTTATTGTGTATGGTTATTCACAATAGTCTCTGGTGATTCTTTGTATTTCTGAGCTCTCAGATGTTATGTCTCCTTTTTCATTTCTCCTTTTATTTGGGTATTCACTTTTTTTCTTAGTCTAGCTAACAGCTTGCTGATTTTATCATTGTCATAAAACTAACTTTTCATTTTGTTGATCTTCTGTATTTTTTTAGTCTTGATTTTACTTCTTTCTGCTCTGATCTTTATTGTTTCTTTCCTCTACTAATTCAGGGCTTGGTTTATTAAATTTTCAAGTTAGTTCTATTTGATTTATAGTGACCCAGATAAACTACTGCAATGGACTGAATTTTGTACCCCAAAATTGTTATGTTGAAGCCCTAACTCTCAATGTAACTGTATTTGGAGATCCTATAAGGAGGTAACTAAGGTACAATAAAGTCATATGGGTGGAACCCTAATATGATAGAATTATCATATCATATTATATTGCCTGTCCTTATAAGAAAAAATACCAATGAGCTTGCTATGTCCCTCCACCTCCTTCTCTTTCACACCACACTCCATGCACATGCTCACCAAGAAGAGGTCACATGAACAGTGAGATGACAGAAATCTACAACACAGAAATAGAAGCCTCACCAGAAATCCACTGTGCTGATGCCCTGCTCTTGGATGTCAAGGTTCCAAAATTGTGAGAAAATAAATGTCTGTTGTTTAAGCCACCCAGTCTATGAAATTTTGTTATGACAGACCAAGTAGATGAAAACAACAACCATGTCAACATTAGAGTCTTTAAACCAGCATACTTGAGAACAAAAGTGGGTAGCAAATTATAAGAACAATCTCTATTAATCTTAAATGGCTGACCTCATAAATATGTAGCTTGGTTGACTGCAGAACCCAGCATGATTTGCACCAAAAAGTCCTGAAGAGTTGCTCTGAAGATGTTCTTAATAATGCCAAAAATTACTTGATAAACTTTAATAGTAATTTATGATTTTAAAACATACTAGCAAGTATTAGGAATAGAATAAAGCTCCCTAAACATGATAAATAATTACACACACTGGAGAAAAATTTAGACATATACCTTTCAAATTCCAGGAAAAGGCAGGAGTACCTGTTATCATTGCTTCTGTTCAACAAAGTACAGGATGCCATAAAGGAATGTTCTCCTCCTCAGCTTGTGTCAAACTTTGCCATTTGGACACGAGCCCAATCTGCTTGTTTCCCAAACTTTCAAAGTCTTTTTTTTTTTTTTTTTTTTTTTTTGAGACAGAATCTCACTCTGTCACCCAGGCTGGAGTGCAGTGGCACAATCTCAGCTCGCTGCAACCTCCGCCTCCCAGGTTCAAGCAATTTTTTTGCCTCAGCCTCCCAAGTAGCTGGGACTACAGGTGCCCACCACCACGTTTGGCTAATTTTTGTATTTTTAGTACAGATGGGGTTTCATCTTATTGGCCAGGCTGGCCTCAAACTCCTAACCTTGTGATCCAACCGCCTCAGCCTCCCAAAGTGCTGGGATTACAGGCATGAGCCACCGCATGTGGCCCAAAGTCTTTCTTAAGTCATTATCATCAGCAGAGAATCTCACAATGTCCCCATAGAAACAATTCTATAAATTCCAGTTTTCATTTCTCTATGCATGAGTTCAAGTTAGATTTTTCCAGAAGAGAGACAGATACCATACTATTGTCATCTAGTGATTCTCAATGCCTCTTTTTATATATGAAATAAAAGTATAGATAAGATAACCTACATATATGTGCAATTTAAAATTATAAAACTGTAAATTCAAATTGCTATTATATAAAGGCTTAATTATATTTTAAAAATGAAGCAACTTATAATAAAATGTGTCTTAATATAAAAATTTTTGGACAAAACTACATTATCAGATATAATGAAGTACAGTCCACACACCACACACACACACACACACACACACACACACACACACACACACACACACACATGCCCCTCCCACAGATACCAAAATCTAAGGATGCTCAAGTTCCCTATATAAAATGGCAAAATAGTATTTGCATATAACTATGCACATCCTCCCATATACCTTAAATAATCTCTATATTATTTATAATACATAACACAATGTGAATGCTACATAAATAGTTGTTATACAGCATTGTTTTTTATTCGTGTTACTTTTTATCGCTGTATTGTTATTTTTTGTTTCCAAATATTTTCCATTGAATCCATGGATGCACAACCCATGAATAGGGAGGGCCAACAATAAGCTGATATTTGCCTCTATGTATAGAATTGCAGAGAATCACACTGCCTCAAAGAAAGTCTGATATTGGTATCTGGCATTAGCATTTCTTTCAATCATGTGATTTACCAAAATAATAAACAATTCTTGGTAAGGTGATGCTTCAAAGTGTAAACGTGCCTTGATTTATTCAGCAGGTTTATCTCTCCAAAATTCAATAGATATAATACCATGAAAAAAAAACATACTGACATGTAAAAAATATTTTGCATTTAGACTCAGTTATTTATATACAGGTTTTTCTATATACCTCAATGTCTGGTCAGAAGATCAAAATTCATAGGAGTCTCAGGACAAGTCTTCATTATGTAGAAATATTTCATGCATTGTAGATAATATAGCACCCTCAATAGCTGCCAGTTGTATTCCCCCCAACACAAACAATCACTGTGAGAAACTAGAAATGCCTCACAATTTTTTTAATGCCGTCATGAATTACTAAACACTCCCTTAAGAGTGGTAGCGTATCTTTTCATAAACCACTGATCAACACCACCATTTCTCCTCTGGACTCTTTCCATGAAACCCAACCCAAACCTCTCTGCTCTCCTATTTACGAAGCAAAAACTCCCATACAGCAATGGCATTAAGTAGATGTTTTTTAGAAAAGGGAGAGAACGTAACATTTGTGTTTATATTACTGAGTCTGATTTAGCCAAACAAATGTGCTTTGTTATAATGATATAAATGTAGAACACTATTCAGTGATCAAAAGAGAAAATTGAGATTTTTTTTAAATCTCATTTCAGAGTCTTTGTCATCTTGGATCTTTCACACTAAGCAAAGTGCACATAGTAACTGTGTTATGTTATGATGTTACTGTCTTTTGTCAACATATACTTTCACGTGTTTTTGCCTGTCCTGTTTTTCTAAGCATATAAAGGTTCTATAATATAGCTTCCTTTATTAAGTTGTGAGCATTCCACTTTTTAAATTCATATTTCTCCTTTAGCTGAAGTTCATATAAAAAGACTCCTCTTGTGTTGCACAAAAGTAATCATCTTTATCAACTCTTCCAATGAGTTAACATTCCATGATATGTTTAATTTCCTTTACTATTTTAATCATTAAATTGTACTTTATGTTCATATCTTGTGAGTGTCAATAGATCACTGGTTTAATGAAGTGTAATAAATGAGTTCTTAATTGATTATTGTTCTCATTAATCACTGTAGTTCCACAAAGAAGATCAGTGAAGTACACAGATATAATGTGGTTCCCTAGAGCACAGTGTGGATGCCAAGCACAGAAAATATAATTTTTTAAACTCAGGAAAAATAAGCCCTATAGCATCACATATTAGAATCATGTTGACATTTGGAATTTTTTTAACCCAGTCTGCACCACAAGGTGTAATTTGGTTTTTAAAAATGCCTATAATAAAAAATAGTTCTTCAAGGTGTAATTTCATGATCAAAATAGATTATTGCCCCCACACAGCAGTGTTTCAAGACATTCCACGTGTTTTAACTGACAGCCATTGATGTTTCAAACTGTGACCATGCACTGCACTGCTATTTCTGCAAGAGATAGTGATGGTTACTTGCATTGGTATAACGCAAGTCTAAACTACCCCCAAAATACAAAGGAATCGCTTTTGGAAACAGTCATCTACATGTTCTACTGTCACTACTAAATAACCAGTGACAAAGAAATTTTCATCTACCTTTCTAAAATGTATTTTATTTCAAATGTCCTTGTAGAAGAGCAAAATGCAAGTTTGTTTATTCCAAGCAGTTGACAAAAACACTAGAAATATTAAGAAAATTGTACTTGCTTCTTCTGAATAGTAAATCAATTGCTTCATCTTATCTTTTTCTACAATTATAATATTCACAATGCTATTTTGGTAACTATTTTAAAAGGATCATTATTAATCTTTTATATCCCTGAGAAAACCAAAGGTTAGAAAGTTATTATTTAACTATAATCAAAAGGCTAGAACACGGTAAAAAACAGGATGTAATTTCTGATGTTTGGACTCCTAGTTAAACGCTCTTCACATTACACCTTCACAGATTCTTTACTGTGAGTACAAAGGATAATGTGATCTCCCTCTTGCAACTGTAATTCTCTTTTTGTCTCAAAACCTGAAACCCTGGAAGGGTAGTGTATGTGGACAGAGTCCATGGCTGAGGATACAGGGAATCATTACAGCTCCTTTTTTGACCCCTATCTTGAGGACCTTTAGAAAATTCTTTATAAAAATACTTTGTTGTTATTTCACATAAATTCTTTAATGGCATAGCATGAAAGTCCATAGAGCATACAATATACGACAGATGGACAAAGCACTCATACTTTGTTGGTGGCCAGGTCCCAACTTGTTCCTTGTGAGTGCTTTGTGGTCCTGGGACTAGGCACATCAGTTCCACAAAACCTGTCAATGGGATTTGTCCACTGATGAATCAGCCTTCACTTACATAGACCTACTGCCCCAGCACTAACGAATAAAGTTATGTAGGGCTTAGATCTTAGATATGTCCAGTAGTAGCCTTGTTGATATGACACTACCAATAAAGTAATGGCAGAATGGATGGCCAGATGTCTCTCCTCTCTCTGCTCCTCATTCCCCACCTCTCTGACTCCATCTTAGCTACAGAAGTACAGAATAAAGGCCAAGATAAAGTGAATATCCCTTAAAGTGTCATTATACATGAGCAATGAAACCTGGCTTAAAAATAAATCATAAAAGAAAAATGAATTCAATAAATTACTCATTAGTCTTTTGGTTTATTGATCTTTAATGAATTGATCCAGAAGCCCTTGCTCCCAAAACCACAGTAATACATCCTGCCTCAGATGTATGCAGGTCACATAGGCGTGGTCAATTACTATTCTACACCCTAGCTATGCTCAAGGTATGTGACCCAAGTCACTGTGCTCTGGGAAAATTGCTAAAGCTGTGAGTAAAGATGCTCCCGCTTCCTTTGGTATCTCAAGCAATAAGGACCATGTATGCATCAAGTCATCAGTGGCCATCTTGTCACCTGATGGAGGGAGATACTGAGAATGTAGCCAACACAGAGGAAAATAGAACCAAGGTACGGACAGAAACAAAACCCTAGTTATATAGTTGAAAACACGTAGCAAGCTATTCCTGAAGACTGATGTCCCTAGACATTTCAGCATTGTGAGACAATACATTCTCTTTTTGGTATCAAGCCCTTCTAAGTTTCTACCACTCGCAACCAAGGGCAGACCAAAATATTACGGCACAGCACCAACAATATTTTTAAATACTATGGAAATGTAAAAAACTTTTATTGTTGCCAAATAAATGCAAAAACTTCCTCCAAAATATTACATTTTATCTGATTCAAGTCCAGTGACTCCTTCAATCTTGGATATATCTTTAAGTCAATTCTCACTGTCCTATAATTGATAAGTCAGTATGACCATTATGCAAGATTAAAAGAAAAGTTAAAGGAAAACCACACAGATTTATTCAAACTTAACTACAAAGCCCATGGAAGAAATAAAAAGGTGTTATGAAAGTAGTGTATTTGTGACACTAAGAAACACTATTCTGACTGCCAAATGGAAAAACATTAAATCCATTATGAAAATTATTCCATTTATTGTGCCTAATAAGTACTGCTGTATATGTCCATGAATAGAGTTTGATTTCAGAGACTTTGTGTTAATCAGCATACAAATTTAATGATGACTACTCTTTAAAAACAAAAAATACGTTTACCTCAAAGGATAGGTAATATTATTTAATAGCTCTTTCTCCGGAAATGATCGTATTCATACTCCCCCCCTAAACTGTTCTTTCACATATAACTCATCAATCAGGAACCATGCCATCATCCCAAATCGTATTAAAAGATTATTTTCACAGGAAAACTCAATATCATGAATTTCATTCCTTTGAATAATCTTTTTACATTCTAACTCTACTTTAAAAACTTTGATCCATAAGAAAGTTATTTTCAGGTTATGCTCATTTCATTTAAGATGAATGACAGTATTTATTTCAGTTTCTCATTGTGTATTCAAGTCTCTATTAAACAGGGGAAATAAAGATTCTCTTTTTGCTTAGATCAATTTCTTTGGTCCTAGCATTAAGAGGCTTATTTACATGAGAGAAAGCAATGTCTGAACATTACAAATATTGAATCTGATTTTCCTTCCTTCTCCACCATTAGAGATAGTAGGCTGGCAAAGATACCAGGGAGATGCTGCTGGCTGTGGGTCCCCATGGAGAGAAGGAGTGCAGTTACAGAAGGGTGTCTTCGCAGAGTTGCCACTGGTGAACACAGCACACACGCAGAGGGTGGTACATGGAGTACTTTGGCCAAAACTTCTCTAATCTGGGATGAGGCTATGGAATACTGTCTCCCCACTAAACCCACTGGAATCCCAAATCTGAAAATTCAGCTAGGAAAGCAGCTCCTCAAAACCTGCTACCTAATCCCTTAGAATGCCTACAAGGAAACTCAGCCTAAATGTTGGCCACAGGAGAGAAAACAGGTGGGAAGTCAGGATGAAAATTTGTATCAAAGAACCAAAATGTTTTTCTCAAAACCCTGGAACATCAATTAATTGCCACTCCAAGGGCAGGACTCAGAATTCAAGAGTGAACTTGTAGCACATTTTAAAAATTGCAACTGTGACTGAGTTTTAGTAATGTTTTCCTCCTGGAATGTACTTAGCTATGTATATTTGAATCCTACCTATCTGTCCTGCTGGCCCAGTTCCAATTCCACCTCCTCCGGTGAGATTCCTCTAACATCTCCAGCTTGAAGTTAGTTATTCTCTGCTGAAATAGGATAGTTCTTAACCTGTTTCCTCTCGCATGAATCCTCTTTTACTCCAACTTATATTACTGCTTTATAGCAATGTTCATGTCTTATCTTCCCTTTTAAATTATGAACCCAAAAAGATTCTCTGCCTAATTTTTTTATCTTAGCAAGGTACCTTGTACAATATAAAGCATTCAATAAATAATTGTTACATGAATGGTATAGAGGAATGGATGGAGAAAATGTTAAAGACCAAGAGCCAGCCAACTTTTTCTTAAAGAGCCAGAGAATAAATATTTTAGACTTTGTGAGTCAAGAGACAAAATTGAGAATATTATATAGGCATTTATGTAGCCTCTTAATATGTAACTATTTTTAAAAGTAAAAGCCATTACTAACTTTCAGGTCGTTTGCACAAAAACGGGCAGCAGGTGAGATTTGACCAACAGGCTGTAACTTGCCAAGCCCAGGGTTACGCCATTTTTTTAATTCATTCATTAGGAAGGCTTGTTTTCAACAGATTATTTTTAATTACTTGATTTACTCTTGAAATAATGTGTGGCATTTAATTGGGGCACATAATAATTGTTTTTGGCTACCAAGAGCCAAACCTGATTGTTCTACTTATTTCTGAGGCCCACTTAAAACACCTTGAGCTCAATGCTTCTCTCCATATGTTCCTTATTTTACTGTATATTACAATGCTTTGTAAGGTTGAAGGTATCAGATACCTAAGGATAAAAATTGTATGATCTCTGAGAATCCCAAATAGTGGAGAGAAAGTCATGTTCAGTGATAGAGCAGTGGTAAAGGGAAGGTAGACTCAGGAAGCAGCATGTAATCAAGTTTTCACCTCCATGTGTAGAGTGGTATAGTTTGCAATAAGGCTAACCAGTAGGGAGAGCCAGGCTATGCACTAGAGTGCATTACCTGACTGTCAGAGAAATGTATCACTAAAAATGTAACTTAAAAAGGACAACTGTAGACTTTCACTTCTGGCCATGATGGCGTTAACTGGTGGCAGACTTTCCTCTAGCAGCAACTAGAAAACTTGGCAGAATATATGAAGTAATAATTTTTAGGCATTGGATGGTAGACAAAGGAAGACTATGATTCCTGGGGGAATCCAGGCAAACATGGTAGGCCCTACAATCACCTCAGTTTCAGCGGATACGCTTTAAGGACTATAGTGGAGCGAGCAGGAACCCAAGCAAATGGTGAAAATATTTGAATTAAGGAAACAAAGATCAGAACTCAGGGATGCTATGAGAGATGAAATGTGTGAGGCAGAAACCAGAGAGGAGAAATAAAAAGAACTCCAAAAATCTACAAGGGAGTACTCTTGAATGTCCTCCTCAATACTAAAGCGCACATTCATAAGGTAAAAACTCCATGAGGCTCAGCAAATAACAATTATAAGGCCTTATAAGCTTAATAATTCCCAGCGCTTACATAGGGCTGGGAGGTAGTGCCAGAAGAAGCAGCAAGCCTTGAAGAGCTTCCTGGCATGGCAGCTGGCACAGCACCAGGAGATGGCTACATGGGGTATGCAGAAGACACTCTGAGATGGCCTTGTTGAGCTTTCCCCAGAGCTCCCAGAGCCAAGAAGGCAGCCAGATGATTTTCTGTGTCCAAAGGTGGTGGAGGGATTTCATACATAAATACAAGAGCAGGCGGTGAAGAAGTTTTAGGACCAAAGGACAGATGAGAATAAGCATACCTAAGAAGATGCCCAAGGGCCAGATGATGATGCTGTGAACCAGGTCCACCACACCCCTCCACACATATCCTGGTATCTACGCTCTAAAACAGAAATCTGGGAAAGGTGAGAAACTGATTTGAGAAAATAATTAATTGACCAAGATTTTAAGTTGTAATCATGGGAATTAGATACAGGGGGAAAAAGGCATTTCTTGCCAATCTGTGTTTCACTACATTATCATTATCATTATCATTATTATTATTACTAGTACTGAGATAATGGTATTGCCTAAACAAAACTGCTGTTGCCCTGCTTAGTATTTGGCTCTTCCTGATCTCAATTTTTATATTTGACTCCATCTATTCTCACTGGTGTGTTTCAGCTTTGTAAATCCCATTTCCAGCCCCCACATCTGGCTTTCCCTCCATACAACTGCCTATGTTTGAAACCTTCCTTCTCTATCAAAATATGCCTCTCCTCTGCTCTCTAGAGATTGTGCTCTCCGCTGTGCAATTTTTTAATTCTTCCAAAAGAATCTATTCAAAGGGATACATGCCTGCCAATACATTAATGTCATCTCTCTCATAGGTAAGGTATTAGCACAAACACTTCCTAAAGAATATGAATGACAGTCAACTGTTGCAAAAATTTAGAAAAAGATATAGTTTATCATCCAATCCAGGACACTTTTTAGAGGATGCTATGGTTTGAATGTGTCCCCTCCAAAATTCATGTTGCCAATGTGATAGTATTAAAAGGTGGGCCTTTAATGGCTGATTAGGTCATGCTGGCTTCTCCTTTGTTCATGGGATTAAAATCCTTATAAGTGGGGCTTCACACCACTTTAGGCTAGCTGGCTAGCTTGCTCTTCAGCTCTTTCATCATGTGAGGATGCAGGAAAGCAGCCCTCACCAGACAACTGAAACTGCCAGCACCTTGCCTTGGACTTTCCAGCCTCCCGAGCTGTGAAAACACAATTTCTGTTTTTTATCAATTACCTAGTCTCAGATATTTTGTAATAGCAGCACAAATGGACTAAAACAGAGGGAAAGTGGTGTTAATAATTTCTCTGGGACAAAAACTCATAAACTGGGTCTGATCCAGATGAACCTGGGTGTATGATCACACATAAAATACTCCACTACTACAATAAAAAATACCAATTTTCCAAAATATATTAAGTACATTTTTATTGTATAATATGCCTAGTTAATGGAAAGTAATCCAAGAGGGAAAGAGGCAGATGAAGGGACTGAGAGGAGAACCGTAAGACAGAGCTGTGCAAAAACATGAACAGTTCCAAAAGGGAGATTGCCAGGTCAAGAAGAGAATTGAAAAAGGCCATCTCCTGCTTATGTAGCCCTCATCATTTCCCCTCTTCCATTTTCAGAAAATTACCTCCGAAATGACCTCTGCTACAAAATGATCTTTTCTGTAGATGTATGCTTTACTGATTTCCACCTCAGATCCAGTTTCTTACAGATCCACATAGCCTCAGCTCCTTGGAATTCATTCATGACCCAATTGTTTACCTTCACTTACCTATATATTTTTAAATGTCATATTATAGATATTTTGAACATACTCACCCAAATTATCCCTCCAATTTGATTATTTTTTTTAAAAAAAGTCCACATCACATTATGTTATTTTTTTCTGTAATTCCTTTAGTTTGAAAGCCTAAGGTCTCTTTTTTATAACAACAATAACATTATACCTTATAAAAATGGCAACCTTTAAGACTGCCTTAATGTTATCAAATATCCAAACTAGTCAAATATCCCCCATAAAATGTTTTGGGCTTTCTCTTGTTATTGTTGGTGTCTGTGTGTTTGTTATTAATTATTGCTTTGTTCAAATAAGTTCCATATAATGCATTCCATTGACGTGCTTAATTTTATTTTAAAATTTATAATTTATTGGTTGAGGACATGAAATCACTTGACCTGTAGATTTTCCCAATTTTTATATTTTGCTCATTGTACCTTCATATTATAATCTAACCTATTTCTCTGTCCTGTATAGTTCACATAAACTGACAGTTAGAATTAGAGGATTGATCAGATTGAGATTGAATTTTTTCAGAAATAGAGTTTTTTATAGGGTATCTTAGGTATTGCCCTAGCATCGTATCAGGAAACAAAAAATGGCTGATTGTTTCTCTTTGTGATATTTAGATTCTTGACTGAATTCATGTATTGCTAAGCTTAATCCATCCATTATAAAGTTTCCCAACAGTTTCTCACCTCATGATTTTATTATCTGTTAATAATGATTGCCTAGATCCATTAGTTCATCAGTACTGGGAAAATAATAATATTTTAATTCTATCACTCTTTCTACATTTATTAGCTAGAATTATTCTATTAAAAAAAGAATTTTCCCTTGGGTAGTTTGTCCAGGAAAGGTATAAAAGTTTCCAGTTTTCAGAATAATTCACTGGTTCCCTAGCATCCTCCAAAAGTGACCAGCTTTTTTTAGTATACATATTCATGTATTTTAACATATTTGATATGTTTCAACTTATGGAAGTTTTTATTCTTTTTGGTGATAAAATTCTTTAGCCCATAAAAAGCTCATCATGTTATACCCTAATACTTTTGACCCAAGCCTCTCAGTTTTTGAAAAGTTCCTTGAATTCTTATATAAGATTTTTCAGGCTCATCTCATACATTCTCTATTCCCAATCTGGAACCAGCTATTTCTCCAAAGATCCATAGTTTCTTTCAGTGAGAAATGCTGTTTAGAGATTACCAGTGGCCTCAAGGAGTACTCACCGCCACTGTTTCTAAGTTTTTCAGTAGATAGAACCACATGAAGCTGAATTTTTTTAAGTGAAAATGCATCATGAGTTTATACTAGTATTTCCAATCCAAATTTGCAATTATATAATTTTTACTTTATTTTTTACTTGTTTATCTTCTTTTCAATAAAAATTTTGGCTACTAATAAGATTACTTATTTGCATTAGCTTATTATAATTACAAAGTAACAATGGCAATATTTTTACTAAAAATATGATAAAACAGGCAAAGATGTATTTACAGTGACTTTGCTCTTGGTATATATACCACTATAGATGTATAGACATATTACTTTGTTTTAAAAGTATTTGAAGTAACTCCTCTTTGCTGACTAAATTATCAAGTCAATACATAGTTACATTCAATTATTTTATTTGCTTTATATTTTCAGACTTTTTAAAATGTTGTTTTAATTTTATATTATAACAAAATCTTTTCAGGATTCTGGAGTCAAATCTATTTATATAATCATTCATTTGCATTACCTTTGTTTCATATTCCTTTAACTTTTATTTACATTTATTTATTTGATAAATAAATTTAAAGATGACAAAAGAAGGCATCATTCACACACATTCACACCAAAACCAACATATTCCCCAATCTGGTATTCTCGTAGCCAGATCCCTCCAACCTCCCCATATACATGTTTTTTCATTTGTTGGTATACATTTTTTCACATAAGCAACAGACAGGTGAGCATGCGTGCATGCACACGCATACACACACATACATTCATAATTTTCCCATTTTAGGTAAAAGGTATTTTGAACACACTGTTCTGATCATTACTTTTGTTTATTTAGCAGTTCCCTTCAGATTCATTCTATGTTGATATAGACACATAATTCACTCTTTTTTATGGCTTCTTAGTACCCCTTCTGTGTGGGCACACCACAAAATATTAAAAGGCTGCAATGAAGAGAATTGGGTTTGCTTTCTCTGCCATTGCTAATTTGTCTCTAATGTTCTTTACAATGTAACAACTAACTAAAATTTCCTCAGTAACCAAAACCTAATACTTAACATATCTGACACTCCTACTAAGTCTCCCAGCCCTTTGAATACCTCATTTTGTTTATATGACAACATTACTGCCACAAACACCCATCCTCCCTCACAACTATTATCTTAGAACTTATTCCTCAGTAAACTTTAGAAATTATTTAGTTCAACTACTTCATTTTCCAGGTGAGGAGACCAGTCCCAGAGAGACCATCTGACTGTAATCAAGGTCACACAGCAGGGATGGCTCGTCAAAGACCAGGTGACTTACCATGAAGTTAAGAAAGCACATGCTTTAACCTCATTTTCACAGGCCACTTCTAAGACCCAGGAAAAAACACCTAGCAATGTGTTTATGTTATCAGATGTCCTTGTGAAATTTTTAGCAATAACTTATTTTAGCTAAATTAGGACCACTGTCTCTGTTCACTCTGATTTCCCTCCATCATGTTTGGGTCAGGTGGCATTAGAGTGACAGTGGGCATCTTTGAAATCTAGCTAAGAGAATATTTATTAGACTAGGAATACACTGCTCCTCATCTGAATGGATATGAAGCATGCCTTCCCTTGTCATATTTAAATTTATGTATTAAATAAATGAGATAAAATTTAAACTAAAAATTAAAGGAATATGAAATTTTAAAATGATACA
Source organism: Homo sapiens (assembly GCF_000001405.40). Lineage (NCBI taxonomy): Eukaryota > Metazoa > Chordata > Mammalia > Primates > Hominidae > Homo > Homo sapiens. The sequence goes on along the minus strand of NC_000002.12, from coordinate 152,982,447 downwards.
AATGAATTATTAAATCAATAGAAATTATTCAGACACTAAGAAGGACATTATTACCAAAAATTTCAGGTTCTATCAAAAGTAGTAATTCATTAAAAAGAAGAGATAATCTTTAAATTAATTTAAAACAATTCAAGAGTAATTGATAAATTAATGAAGAAGAATGTATCTCATGAATATATTAGAAAAATACATTTCTTGCTGACTGAACATGAAATACTGACACTGACCAAGGTAACACAAAACAATAAAACACTGTTACAAGGACATTGATGAAAAACCTGCTCTAATGAGTATCATCAATTCAAAAAGTATTTAAAATTAGTCACTGCCCAAAATCTTTAAACACCCTAGAATGTTGCAACTCATGTGGAAGAAATTTGATCATACTTCTCCAACTTGACAATTTATTAACGTTACATGATCTTAACAATAACAAATTAAGAGCTGAAAGAAAATTTTCTAACTCTAAAAACCAATTTTGATCTATTGTAGGAGTTCTTTTCATTACAGATTACATGATCAATGCTTCTTTAAAATGAGGCAAAAGGAAAAGTTTAACAACAAGCTAGAGTAGGACTTGTCATTCTTGAAGGTAATCCTTATAAGAATAATGGAAGTAAGTAGAGGTACTCTATGCTAGACACTATGGGATTTATAAGGATAAATAAGACTAGTTTCTGCTGCTGATTTAAGAGAACGTACTATGATAAACAATAAAAGTTTGTGGAAAACAAATTTACTGGAAAAAAACAAGAGCAATTCACATCCATTCAGGAAGGCAAAAATTTTTAATATTTAATGTAGGTGCTGTTTCTTGAAGGATGAAAATGATTTCAATAGATAAGGATGAAGGTTAGGGCATTCTAAGCAGAACTAATAAGATGCCAACAAAGATGGAAGCAAAAAATTATGCACTGTGCCAAGAAATCCTGTACGGCCAGTCTATAAACTGTACGTTGGAAAGACATATTAGAGAAAGAGTGGGTCAGGATCAGATAGGACATGAAAATTTGAACTTTATTTGGCATTTCTGCAAGCAGAAAAGTACATGGTATATTTTTGATGATGCAGGGTGCAGCATGGAGAATACATTTGAGAAGAAAGACATTTGTGGCAGGGAAAGGAGTTAGAAGGCCTTTACAATATTTCTAACGAGGGTGAATGAAGTTTAACCTATGGTTGCAGATCAAAGCATAAATTTATGATGCACTGTGAGGTAGAAGCCAATAGAACTTTGAGGAAGAAAAAAAACTTTTATCTGACAAATGCAAGCCCCTTTAAATTATCAGGCCCAGAAAGACATTTAATACTTAGGTAGTCACATCTCACTCCGCCTTAAGCTAAATAACAACCTCTTGAAACCACTTGATCTGTGGGCTCTAGACTAACTGATGCCAAGTACATATAAAATGCCATGCATCCTCCAGTTCAACAACATATAGCCAATCACTAATCAATGTTATTTCTGCAAACCAATGAGAATCCTTGATGAACAACTTTTGTAATCCCTCCTCTCCTGATTTGTCCCTTTTTCTTTTAAAACAAGCCTTTCTTCCCCAAGGCCCCTTGGAATTGTATCCCAGGCTGCAGTCTCAACCTTTGCGCTTGAATAAACTTTATTTAAACTACATTCTGACTCATTTATTTTAGATTGACAGCTTGACAATGGATTGGGTATTGGAGGTGTAGTAGGAGTAAATAGTCCAGGTTTTCAAATCTAGATGCAGATTTCCAGGGGCAAAATAAAAGCATTCTTTTTCCCTTTCAAAGTAATATAATAGTAAATTGTATGTTTCTTCCTCCAACTGTCTTTTTCAAAATCCTACTATTCATGCCCTACATTATCTCGGGGAAATACAAAATTTTGAGGAAAGTAAATGGCTTTCTATCACTGATTGCATCAAAAAGCTACTGAATAAAACATAATCTTATTTTTTGATTTTCATAGGAATTTTATGCTCATTTCATCTTAAATCTCTTGAACTGAAACTTTGCTGTCTTTTCTCAATTTTTATGTCCTTGTTTTTCCATGCGCATATTAAATTGCTTGATTGCAAGAACTCTCATCTGATTATAACAACACAAAGTTGAATGCAACATATTAAAAATTGCAGAGTGCCCTGGTCATAACTCTACTCTAGATTTCCCCTAAATTGGATGTGCAAACACTGTTTTCAAGCAGCCAGGATAACATGGGATGAAGTCACAGGCCTAGTGGACTGCCACTATTCAGATAACAATAACAATGATGTAGCTAGAGTTCACATCATACTTGATTCAGTTAATCAATCAATCCATCACTATGCTAGTCCTCATAATCAGTAAGAGAGAATTTTGAAAAACCATTTTTACCTTCCAGGAACTTTCTGTCCCTTTGAGATGAGAAGAAAAACAGTCTTACTGTTTCAGATAAGAATTTGATTAAACACCACAGTAAGTGGTTCAAACTTTGTTAAATAGCTATTTAGAAAAGAAACCGTGTACACTGATTGGAGAAAAGGGAGAAATCTTCATGTAGAAGGAAAGACATAGTTGGTTCTTGAAAGATCAGTCTGCTTAGGACCAGCAGAGAAAAGAGAAAAAAGCACAAGAGCATTGAAGGGACACAAATTCGCAGCACTGACTTGAGCCCAGTATACACACAAAACAGAACCAATGCTGATTTGGATGAAAAGAAGGCAACTATTAAGAAAGAGAAGGATAAAAGATTGCCCAAACAGAAGGACTTTATCGTGGAAGTCTTGTTAGACACAATTCTATGGGTGAGGAAAGTTATTGAAATTAATGACTAAGAAAGTAAGATAATCCAAGTGGAATTTTTAGGAAGATGAGCTGACAGGTGTGTTGACAATCACTTGGATACTAGAGAGACACTAGAAGCAGGAAGGCAGTTAGGAAGCTACTCTAATAAGAGGTATGGACAGCAAAATGATTGGGATACATATGAAATGCAAATGAAAAGAAGGGAAAACTAAGTCCCCTAAAAGAGATTCTGTGACTCTACGAGCTGTTAGGACTGCTATGATTATTCAAAAAATAGAGAATAAAAAAAAAGGCAAATTTTTGGCTGCAGCCAAATGCTAAATTAAAATAGGTTATTTTCTTCACTCTTGAAGTACTATTTTATCCATTTTTTCATTTGGTTTGAGCATACCTTCTTGGTTAGCCATACCAAACAAGAGACACTAAGGCCTAAAATACAAATGTAAAGTTTCAGGGCAAAAAGAAGAAAAAAATTTTCCAGGATTGGAGGAGAAGAGTGTTTCTCTTAAAGTTAATAAAATAGAATGATGGGAAAAGAAAATATGGTAAATTGAAAGATTCTCTTAAAAAGAATAGAAAGAAAATTAATATTATATTTATTGGGCACCTACTTAACTACCTCTTCTTATTTAATTCACTACAACTCAAGAAACTTGTTTTCAAATTAAAGACTGAAATGTTGAAAATGTATCCAGATTTACAGTTTAAATACAGGAGAGGGAGGGTTGAAATCAAACTCAGCTCTATCTAGTTACAGAACCTGCTATGGAAGGCAGACTTGACAACCTAAGTCCTCCATGAAGGAATCAGGCTCCTTTCCCTCTTCCAGTCTCCTTCCTGGGAGCTTAGATGAATGGAAGCCTTTCCAGATATTAATAGGGGAGAGTCCTATGTTCAGGTTATTTAGAGAAGTGCTGACTAGAAACTATGTTCAGGTTATTTAAAGGAAATAAGCCTGTAATATGTTCCTCTCATTGACTATCCAAAGCAGAGATACTCCATACTACATGGTCCAAAATAATTTACCTACAGAAACTTTCTCAAGGTGCATCTTATGGAATTAGTGTTCTAATTAGGTTGGATAATATGATCTGGTACTTCTAGTGAGGAAAAAAGGCTTAAAGGGTAGAAAATAAGAAGGCTAGTGGTATATACTCATTTAAATGTAGAAATAGAAGTGATGAATATACATTCTATTGAATTTTACTATGTAGGAAACCAGATAGCAAGCTTGGGGATAGTTGTAAGAGAGATACTTTCCAGTGTTGCATGGCCTCAGATTTGTGGTTAGGAAACCCACCAGAGCTTCTGATATGCAAACTCTTCCCATGACACCATAACAGGGCCTTCACCAAACACAATCTCTGACTCGTTATAACTGTTCCTGTTTCCGATGACTTCATTTTTGGCAAAAAGTGAAAGAGGCTAGCATTTGGAAACACACAAATCAAAAAACAAACATGAGTCAAAAGAAAACAATAGCACAAAAAATTATAGAGGAGCTTTCCTCTAACTAGGTAAGATTTAAAATAAAAGAAAGACATTTAATTCTTTTTCTTTCACTTCTCTCTTTGCATATTTAACTATAAAAGTAATGCATGATTTTTTTTAGAAGAAATCATGCACAGGTACTGTATAACTGTATCCATAGAGCTGGGACAGAAATAGAAACAGGTTATTGTTGTTGTCTTTTTTTAAACTTTTTATCCTTTTATACAGACAAAATATTGTATACCAGGTATGTGTCACTCTTTTAATTTTTAAAGAAAAAAAAGAAATTAATTAGATGTCTTTATCCTGAAAAATACATGACCCTCATCTCTATCATGAAGATAGCTATGAAATTTTACTCCTTTTTCTAACAAAATTGTGATCGTTTTGTTCTAAAGTTGATGTTTTTATTTATTTTTAACATGTTATTGATACACAATAATTGTGTGGTATGTATATTTTGATACATGCATACAATATGTAATTATTAAACCAGGGTATTTAGAATATCTATAACCTCAAACATTTATCATTTCTTTTGAAATTTGATTTTTTTCATTTATTCTGTCTTCCTATGCCCAAGTACATATGGGTATACCCCACTATTCTTAATAACTGCAAAGTATGTGACATTATACAATAACTTACTTTATAAAATTTTGTAACATATCAGTTGTTTTCAGCTTTCTACTGCAAGAAACGCTTCTATGAACATCAATCTGGCACCTCTGTGTATTGGTAAGATGAATTCCTAGAAGTAGAGTTGCTGAGTCAAAGGGCATGTAACTGCCTATTAAGTGAGCTGAATTCAGTGAAGTATGAGCACACCACCTTCATTCTGTCTCATGATGGTCTTCCTTCCTTACCCTTCGAGCAGACTGTGCAACTTTCCAGTCATTCTTACTTTCCAACATTAAAAAATCTAAGCTAGTCATATGTTCTTCCAATTTAAATCTTCTTTCTCCCAACTCAGACCTAATCTCGTTTCAAGATTCTCTGGAGGAGAAGGGAAACAAGGACTATTCTTTTAGTATTTATCTCCTCCAACAACCTGAGATTTAGGCAGTTCTCTTGAGGTTTCTTTACTGGGCTTGAGGTAAGGGAAGGAGTTTCAGTCTCTTTTCCTGATAATTCTTGCCATTTGGATGATACAGTAAAGATTTCAGAATCAGTTTGCATCCACTTTGGCAATTCTTTCATAGGTGATCTAAAACCTCTTTTTGGAATAAAGAAAAATTATCACCTATTGTTATTAGTTTTAGGACATTAACTCAGACCAGAAAAATGTCCTATTTAATAATTTGTTATACATATTTTAAATTTTAACAGATATTAATAAATAGTAGTAGTTTAACAAATTTTCACTTCCACTAAAATTATATCAAACACAATTTATCCTCATCCAAATTTTGAATCTTTGCCAATCTGGTAGGTGAATAATGTAGTATTTAATCTTTGTTGATTTTCATGTCTAGATGAGCAATTGAACACCTTTTTCTTTTTTATTTATTTATTGGCCATCTATATTTATTTTTCTGTTACCTGTCTACACATATACTTTTCCATTTTCGGCCAGGCGTGGTGGTTCACACCTGTAATCCCAGCACTTTGGGAGGCCAAGGTGGGTGGATCACCTCAGGTCAGGAGTTTGAGACCAGCCTAGCCAACATGGTGAAATCCCGTCTCTACTAAAAATACAAAACTTAGCCGAGCATGGTGGCAGGTGCCTGTAATCCCAGCTATTCGGGAGACTGAGACAGGAGAATCACTTGAACCCGGGAGGCAGAGGTTGCAGTGAGCCGAGATCACTCCATTGCACTCCAGCCTGGTGACAAGAGTGAAACTCTATCTCAAAAAAAAAGAAAAAAAAAAAAAAAGAATTACTTTTCTCTTTGCCTATTATTTTTCCCCCATTTGTATTTTCATTTTTAATCTTGAGTACTTGTCATTTCCTGTTCCTTTTGCCTGCTTAGGCTAGCTAGCTGTTTTCCCAAATAAAGAATGTGTGATTTATTTATCAATTATAGCTTGTTTTCTGTTTTCCAATTTATTAATTTGTACTCTCAGGTTTAATTCCTTTATTTGGTCTTCTTAGATGTATTTTGTTTAATTTTTCCTAACTTCTTAGGTTAGGAAATCTTAAATTTTTAATATATTTATTTATGTTTGTTTAATACTGTAATAGTTTCAACCGTAAGTATTCCTCTTAATACCACCTTAACTCATGTGGGGGTATTATTTGATTTCTAGACATTCTGAAATTTTATTTTAAATTTCATCTTTCATAAGAGTTACTTAAGAATGAAGTCAAAGATCATCGCATTGCCCAAGTAGATACCACTGTTTAAATTGTACTCTATTTGAATGTCACTCTACGGAACAGTACTTGGGCCCAATGTGAACGGTGCCCACAGAGCTGCAAAACATGGTGGCCCTGAGATGTGTGTTTCAACCTTTAAGTTCTTGGGTGTAAAAGTTCTGGGTTTTGCTATTAATTACTAGCTTGAGTGCACTGCAGTCAGTAAATGTAGCCTCTAGTGTTTCTAATGTTTAATATAGTAAGGATTTCTTTAGGCCTGATATAATGGTTGACTTTGTAAAAACTTGTCTTTATGGTACAAAGTCCAATATGTAACTATGAGAATATCTATATTAATTTTATTATTCTGATTTTTACAGCATTACTTACTTTTCATCTACTTGATATGTCAGGGGCTGAAAGATGAGACAAAATTTTTTACTAATGCTGAATTGCCAATCATTATTACTATACAATATGTTTTTTGGTACACAAAGTTTTGTAATAATTATATATTTGTTGTGGAATTTACCCTTTATCATTAAACTGAAAATTGCAGTTGCTTCCCTAATATCATTCAATCTTTCTCCAATTACGTAGAAGCTATATATAGATGCTACATAGTTTAGGTGGAATTGAGTCACGATCCAGCTCCATGGATGATACCTGATTAATCTAAATCAGTAATTCTCAGAATTTATGGCATCAGGTCCCCTTTATACTATTAAAAATTATCAAAAACTCCAAAATTATTTTGTTTATGTGAGTTATATCTATCAGTGTTTGCTATATTAGAAATTAAAATTTAAAATTTTTAAACATTTATTTAGTTAAAACTAACAATCATATATATGACAACTAGCATTTTTATTTAAAAATCTATAATTATCATACTAAAATAAATGTAGTGAGAAGAGAAGCATGTTTTACATTTTCACAAATTTCTTTAGTATCTTAATAGAAGACAGATTGTCATATCTGCTTTTGATTTCATTTGTTGTGATATGTTGTTAAAATAAACTATATAGAGAAAAGCCACCCACATACAGATAGGTAGTTTGAAAAGGGAAGAGTATTTTAGTAATTTTCAGATGATTATAGATATTCTTTTTTGATACTATACTACAGAAACAACTGGTATCTTAAATGTCAGTTGGAATACGGAATCTGAAACCATGTCAATGAATATTTTATAACCTTTAAATATTGTTACATTAAAATTTATTGGCCTATTTTGTAGTTCAATTGGATCTTTTGCCAAGCATGATTTTGTAGCATCACACATTGATCATCTGAAAAATATTGATTCTCAAAATGTTACTTTTCTAATTCTGACACATTTTATTATGTAATATCCAAAAAAATCCACATTTGCTAATATTTGCATCAATATAACTGCAAAAGCTTCTCAATATTGGGAAGCTGTTGAGCTCAAGGTGGTAGACTTAAGTTTTCCAAAATTAGAATTTTTGCGTGAAAGCTTGAATTTCATCTTTGGCAAAAAATATTGTCAGTAGTTTCCTTGAAGTGACAGATTCACTTCATTTGTTTTCAAGAAAATGTCTGTCAAGTACCCAAGTCTGAATAACAATCATTTGTCTGTCAGTGGTTCTCTGGAATAAAATGCTTTTACATGAAAAAAGCAGACAGTTCAGTCATGTCTCACACTACCTCAAAGTGCTTTCTTTGCAATGACCACAATACTCCCAGATGCTGTATTCATGCTGCATGCTTACTTCTCATTTCATCACACAAAATATTAAAAAGACATGTATTCAAGGGTCAAGATTTAATAAAATTAATAGTTTTTACTGCTTTATCAGGGACATTCTTAGGTGAAAATGGCATTTTTTTTTTTTTTTTTTTGGCTGCAAGTAACTGACAGTGAATGCCATGATCCCTGGTGCAGTTTGGTGCCATTGCCTTGAATCACACTGAGGTACCAACAGTCTTATCCCATCAGCTTTTGTATCATCATGGCCAATGTCAACAAAGGAAAAAGGGAAAATAACCTCTTAGTATTACTATAAAAATAGTTGTGCACTTGTGGACCTCTTGAAAGAGTCTTGGGAACTCCTGGAGATCTACAGTTCACCCTTTGAGAATTCTCGTCTAATTTAAACAGCTGACAATCCCTATCTGGTTTTCCAATGGGATTGGTTTAGGATTTGTTGGGGTTGAGGTAGGGAGAAAAGTGATGGCATTGAATGAAGAGTCACATTCCCACAGTTGTTATGGGAAGTCCTCTTGTGACCATGAGGAAGCAAGTCTGAGAATAAGCCATACAAAGCAGGGTGCCGACCAGGAACCTTCACAGAAAAATAAGGCCAAAGACCCCATGGTACCCACTGTTCCACTAGACTTTTTGGTTACATGAGCTAAATGGTCCCTTCATTTTCAAGCCAGTTTGACTTTTTCTGTGTTCTAGGCATTGCCATGAGCAAAACAAACAAAAAATCTCTTTTCTCACAGAAACTAATCTAAGAATCTTTCTCATTACAAGTAATTTCTTTCATTTACCTTCATTTTTTAAAACAGATATTATTTGTTCTTATTTCTGACATTTATATTTTCTGATTTTAGCACTTGCTTTTTTCCCATTTTTGCAAGGTTGTGTATGCCCTCTTTTAAGAAGTTTAAATTATACATTTAAACTATATTTCTTAACGTATCTACTTTAGAATTATTATCTGATTCCTTGATTTTAGAAAAGCACACTTATATTTCCTTCTACCTCACATTTTTTTCTCCACATGCCCCATTATTTGGCACTTTATTATTTTTATATTGTCTATATTTATAACACTTGGATTTTTCCAAGTAACAATTCCCATAATTGTTGAGCCCGATTCTAATATAAACATATTAACTACCAGTCTGCTAATACCAGCTCCCTTACTTCTGAGATCTGTACCGTAATTCACTTTTTGACTGCCTGATTTTAATCACGTATTGTTTTCAAGGGCTAATTTGTGCTATATTTCCTTTTGCATATTTATCAATCTCTGATTGTAACCTTTATCTTTCATAGAATTAAAAAATCATCTAGTCACACGTCTTCCTCTCAGATATATGATGCTGTTCCATGATACTTTGTTATTGAAAGCCACTATTTCTGATGTCTAAATGTGTTAACTTTTTTTTTCTTTTGCCCTAAGAATTCTTTCTAGAACTTTGAAATTCAGGGTGTACATCCCACATCTTAAGTTATAGATGAACATCCTTAAGATGCACATCCGACATCTTAAGTTCCAATAACCAACAGCCATTGGTAAAAGACATCTGCCTCTGGAGCTCCTTGAGAGGACCAATTAGCAGAATCAGCTCTACTGCCACCACCTTTTCATTGTAAGAACCAGAGTGGAGAGAAGCCATTGCCTTTAGGGGAATCTGGTGTTCAGGAAGAAAAGCTACTTCTTTCCCCTTGAGTAAAGAAAGAGAGATACTCTGACTACCAAAAGGTTTTTAATCACCTTGAGTGGGATGGAGATGCCCTTCTAGGACATCCAGGGGGGTGCTTACTTGTAATAGATATTGCAGTGCAAGTCCTTGAGTTCTCATACAAGCAGAGCCTATGTATACATGGCACATATATAAAACTTATTGATTCCATTCCTTTATTTTTTCCAGTTGTTTGTATTACACTTTAGGATATCTGCTTTTATTTGTCTATCCAGAATCTAAACTTTCTTCCTAACTAGAAGGAGCCCCCATTGTGTGAGACTTTATAGAAAGCAAGTTCCCATGCACCCACTATAGCATCAAAGAGGGAGCACCATAGTTCTGCTCCTTACCCCTGTGAGGCAGGGGAATAGGGTCTGAAGGCAGGGAACCTAAGGCCGATTTGCACTGACTTCCTAGAACTGAATCAAAAAGAAAACCCCACCTCTCCAAGCCCAAGTAACAAAAGGATCAGAGGCTACTCCCTTTGCAACCACTCCCCTTTCCACTGCCTCACAGATAAAAAATGGAAAGTACCTCTGATTAGTCCCCTCCAGCAACCAATCAGACTGACCACAAGCCAATCCTTCATTTACATAGGGTGTAACAAAGTAACCAATGGAAACCTCTACAGAATATTTAAACCCAGAAAATTCTGTAACCAGGGCTCTTGAGCTACTTGCTCAAGCCCATTCCTACTCTGTGGAGTGCACTTTTGTTTCAATAAATCTGTGATTTAATTGCTTCATTCTTTCATTGCTTTGTTTGTGCATTTTGTCAAATTCACCTGGACAACTTGTAGTCAAGACCCTCCATCGGCAACAAATTTTGGTGAGTCGGCCAGGAGGCAAACTCCAAGTCTGGGATTTATTTTTCTCTTTTCCCCTTTTCCCTCTGCTCCATACAGGGGAACCCTTTTTTCTCTCTCTCTCTTTCCCTTTATAACTTAGGACCCTCAGTGGACAGTGCCTAAGCACAGAGACAACTGCAGGTTTCTGGCTGAGGCCACTCTCCAGTGAAACTGAAAGGTTTTCATGTGGAAACACCTGACCACCACTACCCAGTTTGGGTGAGAGACCTGCGTCCTTTTCCTCTATTTTTTCAGTCTTTCAGTGGCCGTTTCCTAGTTGCTCCTTGGTAATTGAGGACAACTGACTGGGGCCACTCTCCACTATTACCTGAAGGCCAAAGAGTGAATGGGGATAGTTGCCCTGCCCATAAGGGGGAAGGACTCTTTTCTATCTTTTCTGGTTATAGTTCATGATTTTTATGTGTGATACAATTGGCAGCAACAGCTCATCCAGGACAAATTCACAGACGTTTCAGATGACTTAAACCCTCTTTTCTTATGCTAAATTCTTCTTTAGAGTTAGCCCATAAAAGATAATGTCTGTTAGGTGTCTTGACCTCCCTTCTCCTAACTGGTGTATTCAACTGGCTAAGGACAAAAGAAACCCACCTAGCCCCCTATGCAAAGAAGGTTATGAAGAAAAGAGATTTTATATAAGAAAATATCTTGAAGCTAGGCACAGTGGCTCACGCCTGTAATCCCAGCACTTTGGGAGGCCAAGGCAGGTGGATCATGAGGTCAGGAGATCAAGACCATCCTGGCTAACATGGTGAAACCCCATCTCTACTAAAAATACAAAAAATTAGCCAGGAGTGGTGGCACGCACCTGTAGTCCCAGCTACTTAGGAGGCTGAGGCAGAAGAATTGCTTGAACCCAGGAGGCAGATGTTGCAGTGAGCTGAGATCCTGCCACTGCACTCTAACCTGGTGACAGGGTGAGACTCTGTCAAAAAAAAAAAAAAAACAGAAAGGATCTTGCATGGTAAATTCTTGTCCTAAACTCAAATGACTGGTTGTTTAAAGAGTTTAGGACAAGTCAGAGAGTCCAAGCATGTCATAGATGGTCTGTGTAAGTCATGACAAAGATTCATGAAAGCAAAGTATGCAAGAAATGTAGTACAATTTAATGTGGATTTCTTTTTTTTTTTTTTTTTTTTGAGATGGAGTCTCACTCTGTCACCCAGGCTGGAGTGCAGTGGCGTGATCTCAGCTCACTGCAAGCTCCGCCTCCCGGGTTCACGCCATTCTCCTTCCTCAGCCTCCCAAGTAGCTGGGACTACAGGCACCCACCACCCACACCTGGCTAATTTTTTGTATTTTTTAGTAGAGACGGGGTTTCACCACATTAGCCAGAATGGTCTTGATCTCTTCACCTCGTGCCTAAGATTAGAGGGTTAAAGGATTGTTTTTAGTGAGATAGGAAAAATCCAAAGGTTTGAACAAGTTGCAGTTTATGAAAATTAATTGTAAAAGAGATTCTGTGTATGAACATATTGGCTAAAGTCAGAAGGGAAAGCTTGGCTTTGTCAAATTATAAGGATGCTAAAAGTTGAGGCCTTCATCCAGTAACAAGAAGGAGAGTTCAAATTGGGTCATCAGTGGTGGAGGAAATCATTCCAAAGCAATGCTGGTACCCATCTAAGGTCAGAGATGTCTGACAGACTAAGATGGGGCCCTAAAGGGGGACCCCAGTCAGGGCCCAGGGTTTTTCCAGGGGGATACCCCAGATAAAAGTTGGGTCACCTAATAAACCCTCCACTTTTCAAAGTCCTCTTTTCTGTACCACTATAGGCAACTTCCCATCTATTCCACCTGATTCCCTGCTTGGCTGGATCCTCAACCACTGGAATCAATTTGACCCTAACAATCTAAGGAGAAAACACCTGATTTTTTATTGTAACACTGTCTGGCCACATTGCCAGCTGGAAAGCCAAGAACAATGGGCAGTCAGTGGTAGCCTTAATTATGACACCATCCTGCAATTAGACCTGTTTTGCAAAAGGAAGCGTAAATGATCAGAAATCCCATATGTACAGGCCTTTATGACCTATACCAAAACCCAAAAATCTGCAAAAATGCCATAACCTGCCCCCCAAAAGGAAAGTCCTAAGGCAGAACTAGATATTGTAAATGACCCCCTTTTACAAGGGCCACCTGTCTGTCAGGGGGGAATAGCAACCACCCCCATATAACCCCTTGCTAAGTGCTCCTGAGGCTCAAGCCCAACAGCAAACAGTGGGAACCTTGCTAAGTACCCCTCACACTCAGAGGGGAACACCCTATTCAACTCCCCCTCCAGCCCTGCTACCCTTTAAGGAAGTAGCAGGAGCCAGGGATCCAGTCTGAGTTCAGGCCCCATTCTCTATAACTAACACACAACAATGTAAATAAAAGCTAGGAAGCTAGAAAATTTGCAGATGGGTTCTAAACTTTGATCTTAGCCTTTGATCTCTCACGGAGAGACGTCCAATTCATGCTAGCAACCTATTGGACCCCCTTGGAAAAATAATGAATCTTTGAGATTGCCCACTGCAAAGTGGACAATTTATTTGCCCAAAACCCTCAGGGCAATCACTTGGGCCCAGACATAGTCCCCACTACTGATCCTAATTGGGACTATAACACCCCTGTAAGGATGAACAACTGGGCTACATTTCTTGAGGCTCTCCTTAGAGGAATGAAAAAGGGAATAACTAAGGCAGTAAATTATAATAAAGTAAGAGAAGTTGCACAAGGAAAGGAGGAAAATCCAGCCATGTTTTATGGCAGGATGGAGGAGGCCTTTAAAAAATATATCAGTCTAGACCCTTCCTCTTCTGAAGGTAAAATAATAATGGCACAGCATTTCATTAGCCAATCCACCCAGACATTACACATAAGCACCAAAAGCTAGAGATGGAAACTAATCAAAATCAGTTTCTTGATACTGCCTTTATGGTATATAACAATTCTGACCTGGAGGAAGGAAAGGGGAACAGAGTAAAGAAAAACAGCAAGCCAAAATTATGACAGCCATCACTGGTGATGCCCTGAATGCCCAAAGAGATTCCAGGGGAAACCCAAAGGGCCATAAGGAAAATGCCAGCAAAGACTCTTGCTTCAAGTGCAAGAAAAATGGGCATTGGGCAAGGGACTATACTAAGCCCCTGCCAGGCCCCTGCTGTCCACGTGAAGGCACCAGTCATGATGCTTGGCACTGGAGAATTGACTGCCCCCACTCCCACAGAGGGGCTCAGTCAGTCAAAACTCTAGCAGTGCAAAAGGAGGAATTAGATGAAGACTGAAGGGGCCTGGGACCTTCCTCACCGCCCCTGTCCAGGAACATCATCATTACTACTGAGGAGCCACAGGTAACTCTTGACGTCATGGGCACCCAAATTCAGTTTCTTTTTGATATAGGGACAAATTACTGTGTTCTTACTCCCTATTATGGTTAAAATAAAGGCACTGCTGCAATTTAAGCACCAACACCAATTGAAATTGCTAATAGTCAATAATGCAGACAATGTCCCAGACTACATTAATAAACAGGTTAACACACCAACATGGTATACTGAGAAACTGGGGAAGGCTAAAACAGCAGTGCCAGTCAAAATACAGCTTAAAGACCCCAGCTATTGTTCTAATCAAAAACAATACCAAATTGAGCTTAAAGCAAGAAAAGGCCAATTACCCATAGTTGAGGAATTACTTACCCATAGACTTTTAAAACCGTACAGTTCTCCCTGCAATATTCCCATCTTAGCTGTTCTGAAGCCTTTGGAGGAATACCAGCTAGTACAGGATGTCAGAATAATTAATGAGGTTGTTATCCCTGTCCATTCATTGGTGGTGGGTCCACATACCCTCCTGGCTCAGGTGCCAGGGGGTGCAAAATGGTTCTCAGTCCTAGACCTGAAAGATGCTTTCTTCTCCATTCCTCTAGCCCCAGGGTCTCAATAACTTTTTGCCTTTGAATGGGAAAATCCTAATACCAGAAAAAAAACAATATACTTGGACAGTGCTCCCTCAGGGGTTTTGAGATAGCCCCCATTTCTTTGCCTAAGCCTTAGAGAGGGGTCTGAGGGATCTGCAATTGGAGAATGAGAGTACACTTCAGTATGTGGATGGCCTTCTTATATGTAGCCTGACCCAGAAGGTTTCTGACCAAAATACTATAAAAACTTTGAATTTCCTCAAAGACAGTGGATACACAGTGTCCAAAAAGAAGGCTCAGTAGGTCCGAAAATTAGGGTATGTCTTAACACCCAGAGCCAGCAAATATCCCCAGAATTAGTGCAAGTCATATGCAGTTTGTGACTCCACCACATCAAGCAAAAGCTTCATTCTTTTCTGGAAATGGCTGGATTTTGCAGAATATTGGTATCAAATTTGGGGCTCATATTAAAGACCCCATATGAAGCAACAAGAGGGCCTGAAAATGAGCTAATGAAATAGAACCTGGAAATGAAAGAAGCCTTCGTCAAGCTAAAATAGGCTCTCACCCAGGCTCCTGCTCTTGGCATCGCAGACCTCACCAAGCCCTTCTCCTTGTATGTAGCAGAGAGGAAGGGCATAGCTGTGAGAGTGCTAACCGAGAAAATAGGATCAGAACCCAGACCAACTGCCTACGTTTCAAAGAAGTTGGGCGGAGTAGCCTCAGGATGGCTGAGTTGCCTGCAAACATTTGCAGCCACTGCTATTTTAGTAAAGGAAGCCACTAAAATCACCCTGGCTCAACTATTGGAAGTTCAAACCCCACATCAGGTGAAGTCAGTCTTAGAAATAAAAGGACACATCTGCATGATGGGGGAAAGGTTAACCAAATACCAGGCCATGCTGCTAGACAATCCAGATATAACCCTTAAAACCAGTAACACCTTGAATCCAGCTTCATTGCTACCCACAGGCCCAATAACTGATCATTCCTGCAAGCAGGTTATCGCACACAAACGTGTCAGCCAGCCTGATGTAAAAGATCAGCCTCTCCCAGATTCCAGAGGTGACTGGTTCACAGATGGAAGTAGTTTTGTGTCAAATGGGGAGCACTGAGCTAGATACGCAGTAGTAGGTCACAACATCATTATTGAAGCCCAACCACTGCCCGCTGCCACATCAGCACAACAAGCTGAAATCATTGCTTTTAGCTGAGCATTAATGTTGGGACAATGAAAAAAGCTTAACATCTATACAGAGTCTAAATATGCATTTCTCCTGCTTCACGATCATGCTACAATCTGGAAAGAAAGGGCACTACTTAAATAAAGCATGGTCCTGAACTGCTTCAGCTACTGGAAGCAATGTACCTGCCAAAAACATTCCCTGATAAAGCATGGACCTGAAATTCTTCAGCTATTAGAAGAAATACAGCTGCCAAAGGCTGTAGCTATTATCCATTGTAGGGGGAATCAAAGGGACTTAACCCCCATAACACAAGGTAACAGAAAGGCTGATAGGCCAAAGCTGCAGCCCTCAGGGTGTAAGTTCAACAGGTTCTACCAATGATTCCTTTCTATGATTCCCCAATAGAACCTGAATATATACCACAGGAAAAACAGTTAATAAAGGAGCAAGAGGGGGCAAAAAAAAGGATCTTGGTGGCATATGGGACTAAAAGTATCTCTCCCTCAAACAGCCCAATGAAGAATTATAAAAACCCTCCATGACTCTTTCCATATGGGGAGAGATGCCTCCCTGGCCTTGGTTAACAGGCTCTTCTTTGGTGGTTAAGCAAGTCTGTCAAGCCTGCTCGCTGTGTGCAATTAACAACCCAGGAAACAAAATGTCTCCTCTAATAGAACCAGTCCAGAGGAGAGGAACTTGCCCAGGGGAAGACTGGCAATTGGACTTTACCCATATGCCAGCCTGTAGAAGATAGAAGTTTTTGTTAGTACTAATAGATGCCTTTACTGGTTGAGTCGCAGCTTACCCTACCAGAAAAGGCCAATGAAGTTGTGAAGGTCCTCTTAAAAGAAATAATGCCCTGGTTTGGATTACCTCAGAGCCTCCAAAGTGATAATGGCCTGTCCTTTATCTCCTAAATAACTCAAGCGGTTTCTAAGGCTTTAGGGATCAAATATTATTTACATTCAGCATGGAGTCCTCCAACTTCTGGGAGAGTAGAAAGGCCTAATCAAACTCTAAAATGGGCGTTAGCTAAGCTATGTAAGGAAACATCAGAAACTTGGGTCAACTTGCTGCTCATAGCCCTCTTTAAGGATCCATAATTCCCCTAGAGCAAAAACTAATATGAGCCCATATTAAATGTTATATGGGAGGCCATTTTTAACAAATGATATAATTATTGATCCAGATACTGCCAATTTTGTAAAATACCTAGTTAACCTGGGACAATTTCAGCAGGCTTTACAAAAGTTTGTAACTCTAAGGCTCCCCATACTGGGAGCTAACCAGCAATCCCAAATGAGGCCAGGGGATAAGGTACTTATTAAAACATGGAAGGAGGGTTCACCTGCTCAACAATTACAACCCATGCAAGGGTTGTAATGGAAGGTACCATTTTCAGTGGTACTGGCCATACCTTCTGTGGTCAAAGTACTAAGATTAGATCATTGGATACATCTTTCCAGAGTCAAGCCTGAGATACCTGAAGCCTTGGACCTGGAATCTGAAGCTCCCATCAGCCACTACACCTGTGAACCTGTGAAAGACCTCAAGTGCCTCTTTAAAAGACAGCCAAAAAAATAAGTAAATGCCTACCAACTTCCTTGGTGTCTCTGTTGCATAGTTACTGTAGGCTGGATAATAGTAGCCATTTTTATATTTTTGCAATTTAATTGCCTTCTTCCAGGTGGATGGAATCACTTCCTTTGTAATAATTAAGCAGAGAGTTTTAATTCATTTTTATAACAAGAATTCCTGACAGCATAGGTATCCGCCCCCTGAAGTTCCCATTCTATAGAACAAAATAACATATAAGTATTTTTTTGTTCTATCGTGTCACCCACAGCCTGTGTATACTGAGAAGATGCATACCGGGAATCAGCCTTATTTTACAATAGAGCTTCACTTTACCCCTCCGGCTATTAATGGATTCTGGGTATTTATTAAGAACTTTAAATTCAACACAAAGACTATTCAATACCACCGGCTCAGCTCTGAAAAAGGACTCCTGGCTTTCTTTATCTCCATAATCATCCAAATACACTGCCATCCCAATCCCAGCCCAATCTGGGGCCCTTGAAAAAATAACCTATCACCCTAACTACAAGGGAGGAACTCCCTTCAAGTTAATAGGCCTGGATGACTTACATGACTTCAAAATTATGGAAATGACAAGGGCTACAAAGACAGGACCAGCACCTCCTCCAGTCCTATCAGAGCAACGTTTCTGGGAATGCATCCCTACAGAAACCCATTTGAGGCCCAATATCAATGCACACCGAGCTAAAATTCCAGGCACCACTTTGTATTAAGAGAAGCCACATTTCTGGTCAGGCCCTGGGAAACTTGAAAAGTCATCAATGTAACTGCACCCTAGAGATTAACCCCTCACATAATCATGTAAGCTACGCAGTTACCCAAACTGCATCATTTAGAAAACCTGTATGGTTTTCATGGAAACCATTCCTAGATAAGGGCACTTTAAAGGATATACAGTATAAGTACTGTCAAAGTAAGCCCACTAGCTACATTTTGCCTTGGGAAGACTGCACTAATTCTGAGACATCAGTTGCCTTTTGGTTCCCCAGTATGAAAATACCTCTGGGTGGTTGTTAGTGGACTCTAAGTGTAACAACTTCTACTGGGAAAACACGACTGCTGGGGCAACTCAGGATACTTCCCAAAGTCCTTTCCAGTCTTTAACCAGGGCTACCTTAGCAGGGACCTTAACCACTTGGGAAAGTGAAAACAAGCTATCCCATATGTTCACCATAAGAAACAATTTTTGTCTGAAAAACAAGGAGTCTTTTTCCTGTGCAGGATCAGTTTCTACTTATGCTTACCAGCCAATTAACCTGGAACCTGTACACTTGTTTATTTAGCCTCCAAAATTAATATAGCTCCCAACAACCAATCCCTCATTATGCCTTTAACCTCAACTACCAGACACAAATGTGCCATCCAACTCATACTCCGTTTGGTAGAGCTAGGAATAACAGTGGGATTAGGAACTAGAGTTAGCAGACTTGCAACTTCCTTATCCTATTGCCAACATTTGTCCAAGGATTTTATGGAAAGCTTGAATGACACGGCCCAAAGTACTGTCACCATACAAAATAAAATAGACTCCTTAGCAGCAGTCACTTTGCAAAATAGAAGTGAACCAGATCTTCTGGCTGCTGAAAAGGGGTGCCTATGTCTTTTTCTAGAGTAAAAATGCTGTTTTTAGGTCAACCAATTAGGATTAGTAGAGATGCTGCCCAAAAACTAGCCGATTGGGACTCTAAGATACAACAGCTGTCTGAGTCATGGGCTCCTGATCAAAAGTGCTAAGTTGGGTTCATAGCTCCTTCCTCTGGCCAGCCAATTATTAATAATTATACATGCCTCGGTCTTTGGACCATGTTTGTTAAATCTTTTAATCAAATTTATTTTCTCTCGCCTAGAGACCATCAAGCTTCAGATGATCATGTGACAAGGTTTCCAGCCAGTTCCTGGTGAAGGCACCATCACAGCCATCAAGAAGCTACCCTGTCTCCACTAGACAGAACAGGGAAAGAATTCCATGATCCCCAGTAGGTAGGGACTGCACTTCAAGTCAGCATGAAGCAGTTACAGAAGAAAAACATCAGTCCCTCTGCCTCCCATAAAGATTTATGGGGATCACATTTCTCACGGGGAAATGAGGCAGGAGAATAGGGTCTGGAGGCAAGGAACCTAAGGCTGATTCATGCTGACTTCCTAGAACTGAATCAAAAGAAAAACCGCACTTCTCCACACCCAACTCACAAAAGGATCAGAGGCTACACCCTTTGCAACAATCCCCTTTCCACTGTGTCACAGAGGAAAAATGTCAAGTACATCTGACTGGTCCCCTCCCACAACCAATCAGACTGGTCACAGGCCAAGTCTTCATTTGCATAGGGTGTAACTTTGTAACTTCACTTCAGCCTCTGATTGGTTGCCTCCCACCTCTGGAGCAAATAATACAAAAAAGAGAATGGCTAGAATCATTTGAGGTGGCACCTGTCATCAGCACAAAGTCCAGTGCTGGTCTCCAGCAGGGCTGACTTCTTTTTAGTGTTTAATTAATTAAAAATTAGGCCAGGCACAGTGGCTCACTTCTGCAATACCAACACTTTGGGAGGCCTAGGTGGGCAGATCACCTGAGGTCAGGAGTTCAAGGCCAGCCTGGCCAACATGGTGAAATCCTGTCTCTACTAAAAAAAAAAAAAAAAAAAAAAAAAAAATTAGCTGGGCATGGTGGCACACACCTGTAGTCCCAGCTACTGAGGCAGGAGAATCGCTTGATCCCAGGAGGCGAAGGTTACAGTGAGCCGAGATTGCACCACTGCATTCCAGCCTAGACGAGACAGCAAGCCTCTGTCTCAAAAAAAACAAAAATTAATTAATTAAAATTTCTTAATTTTAATTTCTATTTCTTACAATCAATACTCTAACTGTTCCACTCACAATTAGGAGAAGCCAATGTTTTTTGGTTTTAGTGTACAGTTATCAGATTAACTAAAGAGTGTATGTACTAAATGAAGATTAAAAATACAAACAATAAAGCTGTAAAACCCTCATATATCTTACCTCTTTTCTCATATACTTCTCTTTTCTTGGGATCATAAAAAGAGAATACATATAATTTTTCTTATACCTAATGGATGCCTGGTACAAAGCCAAAATAGCAGAGATCCTTCTTCTGACCAATTTAAATTGGGTGACATGTAAATGAGGTTATATGTTTCCAAATTAGATTTCCTGAAATTTGTTTTATTATCATTAATCTTTGGCTTAGAACACGAGTAGTTGGTTCCAGAATTCACATAATGAAGCTAGGTGAAAATGACTATATGGATACACTCCTCATACTGCTAAGACTCATTCTGTCAAATCCCTTCACGAATCACTCCCCCCGCCATCATGAGTCACTGAAATCTACTGCTATTTTGTGTCTTTTTCCAGGGAAAAAAAAAATCTTTACCAGCTCCTCACAGTTCACACTCTCAAAAGTTCTGCCTCATTATTGTGGGGATATTAAATGCCAAGCTCTTGTTTGAAAATACAGGCTGCTTTCAATAAGGCAGTGAAACTGCAATCGATTCTCTGCCTTCAATGAGATTTAGACACTTTTGCTTCAATAAAGCCTGTTATTAAGACACTTCCTTCTCTAAAGCATTTCCTGACATTTTTTTAAATGAGCCCATTCTCATTTTATAAAACCATCTTGAATCCTGTTACCTTGACAACAAGATAACATATTATGTACTTCCTGAAGACCAAGAACTAAAGGCAGGAGAGTCTAATCTAGCCCTTCTCACCATTTAAGAACTCAAATATGGAAAATTTGTGGCATGATGATAAAACATTTACCAACAGCTTCAAGAAGTGTAAAAATTATTGCCTCATTCACATTTTTCAGATACATGAAAGTATTTTATGCAACAATCAATACATATAGAGTGCTTATATGTTTCAGACAGTGTTATAAATCTATAAAATTAATAATTAAATTTTCCTAGCTCTCTGAGTGATATACCCTTATTACCCCCATTTTAAGGATGAGGAAACTGAAGTATAGAAAGTTTAACTTACTCAAAGTCTCAGGGCAAGTAAATGTCAGAACCTGGTTTCAATTAGTTTTGTTCCTAAGGACCAAACAGAATCTCAAATTGAGTTATTTGTTGTTTGCCTATAACTGAAGATTATTTGTCACTGCACTTGAAATTTAAATCAAATTTAATGTTTGGTGGCAAAAAGTCAAAAATACTTTTTCCACATCACAAAGAGAACTGTCACACCAAAGGCAAGACAAACACTCCCACCTGCGTTACTCAGCCCCAAATACTTTGGTCTTCCTTACCCCATTAGACGTCAAAGAAAGCCAAACGAGAGATGAACAATAGCTAACATTTCTGGAAAGAACCATGTTCTTGAGACCCTTTATACACATTGTTTCTTCTTTTTTTTTTTTTTTTTTGAGGCCAATTCTCGCTCTGTCACCCAGGCTGGAGTGCAATACTGCAATCTCAGCTCACTGCAACCTCCACCTCCCAGGTTCAAGCGATTCTTGTGCCTCAGCCTCCAGAGTAACTGGGATTATAGGTGCGCACCACCACGCCCGGCTAATTTTTGTATTTTTAGTAGAGATAGGGTTTCACCATGTTGGCCAGGCTGGTCTCAAACTCCTGACCTCAAGTGATCCACCTGCCTCGGCCTCCCAAAGTGCTGGGATTACAGACGTGAGCCACTGAGCCCGGCCTACATTGTCTTATTTTAATACTCCTAAAAAGAAAGGCATTTTTATCTCTGCTTAATGATTAGAAACTGAGGCTCCTAAAACCATTCAGAGGCAGAGCTAGGAAACAAATGTAGCCTGGCTCTGTCATACACCGCTACAGTTCTTACCAAACGTGCTACCACTGAAAACTCGAAAGCCTAAACTGAGGTGGGAATGCTCACTGATCCACATAATTACCTCCCTCTAAGTAAAAACACCAATTCCTCTACCCTTTGGTTCAGATGCTATGCCTTCAATCTGTTGATGTTTCACTTGAATCAGGCAACAGAGTCACATTCCGGAGTCTATTCAATTTCAAAGCTTGTATTGATTTCTGTTTGTTTCCAAAATATCTTCATTTTTAACATCATTAGCATTACATCCTCACAATAGAGTCCCCAAAGTTGAATCTGGAGTTTAAGGAAATAAACTCCTTATTTCCTAGTTTTTGTGGTCTTTAAAACACATTTTAAAATTATTTAACAAAAGAAGTCCTATCAAATTACATTGCCACCATAAGCTTATGAATGTAATATATAATCTCAAGAATTTTATTGTATCTTTACAAAATTCAACATTTTGCAGTTTTTTTAAAAACCACCATTTTAGCAGAAAATAAAGGCATCTAGTTATCATTCTTTCCTTTTTTTTGTTGTTTTGTTTTGTTTTGTTTGTTTGTTTGAGACAGGGTTTCACTCTGGTTATCCAGGCTGGAGAGTAGTGGTGTGATCTCAGCTCACTGCAGCCTCGACCTCCTGGGCTCAAATGATTCTCCCACCTCAGCCTCCCAAGTAGCTGGGATTACAGGCCTATGCCACTATGACCAGCTAATTTTTTGTATTTTCAGTAGATATGGGGTTTTGCCATGTTGGCCAGGCTGGTCTCAAACTCCTGGAATCAAGCAATCCACCCTCCTTGGCCTCCTAGAGTGCTGAGATTACAGGCATGAGCCACCATGCCTGGCCGATTTTTTATTCATTAATATCCATTCTCAACACTCTCAAAGAAGAAAAGAGAAACTACCATTTCAGAAAGATAAAATAATAAAGTAGTTCCTTAATAAGCTAGTAGTTTCTAATAAAACTTCTCCCAATTTCCTATGAAAATATCTACAATACAGAGAACACAGGTGAGAAGTCACAAATGATGTCAAGTTTTCTACACACAATTGGTGGCTAATCCTGTATTGCTTACCCTCAATCACTGCCTCATTGCCAGCGCTGCTGTCTATTAGCTCTGGACCTTGAGCAAGTTACCAGCTTCTGTCTGTCTTAGCTGTCACATCTGTACAAAGGGAACAGAGTAGAAACTATCTCAGAGGTTGTTGTGGGAGCTAAGTTCGCACATGCAGAATTCCTAGAATAGCACCTGGCAAAGAATGTCTAAATACATATGAACTGGCATTAGCTGGCATTATCATTGCCACTGTTTTTCCAGTGTTTCTGAAAGCGCAGAAGGTGTATCACTGCAGATATACAAGATTAGGGGTGATATTCAAAACTATTGTAGGGTATACTTGTAGGTGTCATTAAATGGCACAAATCACATATAATAAGAAAATTATACCTTCCTTTTTGAATTTTCATTTAGTACTCTGATTACGGCAAGATTAAAGTTTCAATTTGATGCCACAAATGTATTTATCATCTATCCAACAACTGAAAATCTCCTTCATTACCTAAGAGAGTAGATCTCAGACTGCAGGGAGTAGTATTCCCCCAAAATTTAATAACAAGTTGATTTGTTTTAAGCAATTTGCTTTCTTAAATATTTTCTATTCCTATCATGTTTTACTAATTTTTCTTTTAGGATAACGTAAAGCTTCTTTTATAAAATATTCTTAACCAAAAAAATGAAGGCTCTATTTAAAGAAAATATGAAATGGGCAGTAAGCAGATGTGGCAAAAATCAAGAAATATACTAAAAGATTTAGTTTGGGAAAGACTCTAATACTGTACTGATACTCCTAACTAGACATCAGCAAACTTTTTTCTGTTAGACAGATAGTTAATATTTTAGGTTTGCAGAACATATAGTCTCTGTCCCAATGACTCAACTCAGCAATCGATAATATGGAGATGAACATGGCTATGTTCCAATAGAAGCTTTATTTATAAAAATGGGTGATGGGCTGGGCACAGTGGCTCATGCCTGTAATCCTAGCACTTTGGGAGGGCTAGGTCAGCAGATCACCTGAGGTTAGGGGTTCAAGACCAGCCTGACCAATGCAGTGAAACCCCATCTCTACTAAAAATACAAAAATTAGCCAGGTGTGGTGGTGCATGCCTGTAATCCCAGCTACTCAGGAGGCTGAGGCAGGAGAATCGCTTGAACCCTAGAGGCAGAGGTTGCAATGAGCCGAGATTGCACCACTGTACTCCAGCCTGGGCGACAGAGTGAGATTCTGCTTCCAAAAAAAAAAAAAAACAATTGGTGGTGGCTGCTGCATTGGGCCCACAGGCCATAGTGTGCCGATAGTGCTCTAAACTATGAGATATTAGGATCCTGGAATAAATGTTTGATTATAGTCAAAGTATTCTTTCCAAGGTCTCACTGCTGAAACAGAAAATATAATAAAATAGTTCATTTGAGATTGGGAGGTTTTTTTGAATAATGACTCTCTATTAATCTTTCAAAAGGCTGTGGCAGGGATGTCAGATAAAAAACAGCTTCCAAGTTTTAAGAAGAGAGAGAATGGATGAACAGCACCTAAACATCTTTTGCTAATTCATATGAAAAATACATGTATAACACCAGATCTAGGCACTGTCCTAGCAGTTTACATGTGTTAAAACTCACTTATTCCACATAAAAATTCTTTGAGGTTGGTAGCAGTATATTCCCATCTACAGATAAGGAAAATGAGGCATACAAAACATCTTGGAGAGGCGAATACTGTGGGACAGTATTTGAACGCAGACAGTAGGCTAAGAGTCCATGTTCTCACTCTGCTGATGATGCTGCCCTCAGCATCATGCACAGTGGTTGGTTGTGTTTTCCTGCAAGCTTTAGCTCAGCTTAAAATCTGCTTGATACGGCAGGAATTTTTTGCCTTGAGAGAAACTCAAGGTTTTGAACAAGGAAGAACATTCCTTGAGCAGGAAATGAGAGCAACTGAGAGCAATTTCACATAATGAGTTATCACAACTTTGTGAGCCTGCAGTAACTAGCTTTGTGGTAAGTTCTGACATCCATAGCCTCATATAGGTAGGGCCGAGGAGAACCTGCCAAGCTGTTTTCAGTGGTTACACAAACACAGAAGCATGGTGGAGGCTTCATTTTAAGTACTCGCTAGGCAAGAAGGACACCCTATTTCAGTTAAATTAAATATTGATTTAAAAACTTAAAATATTCTTCTCTTCCAAGTTCTGATAGTTATTTTTTTAAGCTAGCTATAAACTGATCTTAATGTTACATATCAACATGGATGGTGCTCATCTTCCCAAATTTTATTTTTATAGTTATGTTTTTGTGAAAACACAATTTCAGAGTGTGTGAAATATATTTCTGATGGCTTTCATACATGTCCCATTGGGACATAAGCCTGAAAGAGAACAATACCTAGCAGTGATTATGGAAATCAAAAATGAAGGTTTACAGCCTAAAACAATCAACATGAAGAAAGGCATGCCTTCTAAGTCTTCCCTACTCCAGCTATGGCAAATATTACACAGATGACAACAATGAAAGTACAAAAACCGCTTCCAAAGCTATTGTTATGAATTATTCCAAAAAATGAAAATATACTTTCATTTAGAAATAAATGTAAAACTTCTGTATCTTTTTGAAATTTAGAATAAAGAAAATGGTATCATTAAGCAACAAAACTGGGGTTTGAAGAAGTTTTCCTGTTGGTTTGCTTGTTTGATTTCAGCAATCATGTGAATAATGAAGAAAATAGAAGATATTTGGGGATATTAACTCATCACCCATTAATCACTGTACAATTGTGCCAGGAGCAGGGGTCGAAGAAGCATCTGGACGTGTTCTAAGAGCAGCAAGAAGGATACTAACAGTCTTGGTCCTTAACATCCTTCACATTCTGCTTTCTGATGCCCCTTTTTAATTATTACTCATCTTCCTTCTCCAGTGTTCTCACTCTCCTTCTCCACACTCTCAGAACTTCCTTCCTTCCACAGGAATGAATGCAACTGCCTTTCCTGGGACTTTTACAAGAGAGCAAAGGGAAGAGATATTAGGAATTTCCATGCATTGCCACATCTTTCTCCTCCTTATCTATTCACAAGGTTGGCCCTGTTACTGTAGCTGCTCTCTGTTATCCTCTAGAAAGATGAAACTTTAGAAAACAAAGGACAACTACTCATGAGAATTAAGGAATAACATAGCTTTTAAAATTGGCTTTTTTATAATCACCTTTTTTCAAAAATAATTTAAGGAAGTTTTCAGAGACATATTCCAATTAACATTATTAAAACAAGTAGGTGAAGTTTCAGGGCAACAGATTAAATGTAAGTAGGAAAAAAAAAAGATAAAACTGGATTGAGCTCATATACTCATGAAACACACCCCTGAAATTTCCTCTTCTTATATATGGGCCACAAATTCAGTTTTATAGAGGTCAGTTCAAAAAGGAAAGAACAATTTGTTATATTACTCATGGTAGGCATAAAAAGAAATTATAACAGCTTCTCAGAAGAAGCCCAAGTATTCCTGGAGACCACAGATAGAAGACAATGTTCTCAATAACATTATTACAGGAAGCACAGTAAAAAGTTTTGCAATACATATCACATACTACCCTCCAAATCAAAATTTATAATAAGCTATTCTATTCTACAAAAAAGTTCATAAGGAAGGCATCAAAATACAGGGATTCAAATCAAGAAACAGGCCAAAAAATGTGGCAATTACATAGGGGCTAGTGGCTAGAAACATTCCAGTTCTCTCTTTTTTTTTTTTTTTTTTTTTGAGTCAGAGTCTTAACTCTGTCACCCAGGCTGGAGTGCAGTGGTGTCATCTTGGCTCACTGCAACTTCTGCTTCCCAGAGTTCAAGCAATTCTTGTTCCTCAGCCTCCTGAGTAGCTAGGATTACAAGCATGCACCACCACACCCAGCTAATTTTTTTTTCTTTTTTTTTTTTTTTTTTAGTAGAGATAGGGTTTCGTCATGTTGGCCAGGCTGGTCTCGAACTCCTGACCTCAAGTTATCCACTCACCTTGGGCTCCCAAAGCCCTGGGATTACAGGCATGAGCCACTGCACCTGGCCCCCAGTTCTCTTAATCTTAAAAAAATATTTCTCATACCACCAAAAATTAGATTCACCTAAACTTGGAGGATGCACATGTTAGCCAAGTCTCTGATATAGATCTGATATAGGTCCCAAATCCATGACCATCGACCATTTACCTATTGTCCTGCAGATTTCCAATGCATATCTTCTGCACTGAGAAGGGAAATGAACCCTTCACTCATCACTGGGGCCGAGGCCCCAGAGCCCTACGTGTTCTTCTATCCAGTGAGCCAGGCTGACCACCTATGAGCCACACATGAAAGTGGTGAATACCAAAAGTCCGCTGGCTTTCGAAATTGATTTCTTCTAATCATCCATATTTTATCCCTTAACAAATGTGAAAGCAGAGTGTCACCAAGGTTCAATCTGTATCATTTATTACTCCTTCAAATTAGCCTTTGTAAATATCAGACGCTACACCACAGCACTAAAAATGAACCACTGCTACGAACAAGAACGGAGCCCGGTTAAACACAGCAGCAGAGTTTGCTCAGATAAAAAACAAACCCCAACTAAGAGAAGGATTCGAGCATTGGAGTCATAATAAGGTAACTCAGGTTGAGTAGACAGCCTCATTATAACCTCCTGGAATTCTGCCATTTGTAACAATAGTGACAAAAATTCCCTTTCAGTATGATATATCTTAGCCAAGTGCTTAACCCAAGGAGATTGTACATTAGTAAATTTTATTTGGCTATTTATACAATACTTAAAGGTAAATAATGCTCCCTCTCACACTTGTATGCACATGTGCCCCCCCAACCCACACACACACATACACTGCCAAGTATGTTTTAGGGTGATAATGGAGAGTGTGAGAGCATTCTGCATGTCAAGGTTGCTCTGTAAACATTTACAACAAAATTTACAACACTTGCCAACTCCCAGACAAGTGCCTTTAACGTGTACTAAAGAAGTTGGTAAAAATTAATGAAAGAAAAAACTATGGGAAAGCAAGTTGGGTCTAGCTCTGTGTCCCCACCCAAATCTTATCTTAAATTGTAATCTGAATTGCAATCCCCATGTTGGGGGAGGGAGGAGATTAGATCATGAGGCCAGTTCCCCCATGCTATTCTCGTGATAGTAAGTTCGCCCAAGATCTGACAGTTTTATAAGGGTCTTTTCCCCCTTTCACTCTGCACTTCTCTCTCCTGCCACCCTGTGAAGAGATGCCTTTCGCGATGATTTCCTGAGGCGCCCCCCAGCCTTGTGGAACTGTGAATCAAGTAAACCTCTTTTCTTTATAAATTACACAGTCTCAGGTATTTCTTCATAGTATCATGAGAATGGACTAATACACAGTTTAATAAAAAACTCAATATGTGATGATATGATTAAATACTGAATGTGGTGAGTACCATAGTTTAGACACAAAAATAAACATATTAAATGCATTCATCAACTTTATCTCAGATTCATTCTACTTTTCAATCTATAGCATACTCTAACAGGCCAGAACACATAAGGATTATGGAAAAAACCCAAACATGTTTATAATTCTGCCTACAACTCCAATTTCTGGGGCTTTCTTGCAGGGATTTGTCTCTGAGAGAGCAAGGTCTTTCTCAGCTTCTTTCAGTTTTATTCTAGTTTGATTGAGCTTAGGTGATTCTTTTTTTCACCTTCTTCAGAGTTTTGTTAATTAGTACTGAGCATTAGCAGACCATACAGATAAGCTGACAAATGACCAAAAACATGTTAATGGAATGCTGCTCAAAATTCCCTTGCTGCCTGTCAGAAATAATTGGTACCTTTCTTCAAGCTTTCCTAGGAAAATGACAAATCAAGAGGAAATGCCTTTAATTTCAAAGGGTCTTATTGGCTCTGGATCATAAAGCATGGCAATTTATTTTACCTTTTTTATTATAAAAAATATAACAATACTTCTGAAGGATTACTGATCGAAGTTATGGAGTTTAATATCTGTCAAAGTACAAATCCCAGGGCGTATTAAAAAAATCTGAGGATACAAAGCTGCTAAATGCCTCGGTCTGGTTCCTTCACAGAAGTCACACTGTCTAAGCAAACCAACACTTTTGATATGAAGATGCAGATACACTCCACGCTGGTTAATGAAACAAATGATAATCTATCATCACGTAGAAGTAAATGTATAGGCTACTTTCTGATTACAATCCAGATAAACAAAGGGAAAAATATACTTTCTGCTCATTTAAAAAGTTATAACATGAAGCTATAACCACCTCTGTTTGTTGTCCAAGATAAAGACAAAAGAAGTTTCCATAAAGCTCAGACAAGACTGAGCAAAACACAGCATGGGGCTGACAAAATCTGGGGGATCTGTTTGTTGATAACAATGAAAACATCACTTTAGAGTTGGAATCAACCAAAAATATATTCTTAACTTTTTAACTATTCTTTCATCTCCCACTTAATGTTATGATACATGTTTGCCATTTCCTTATTAACTATGATATAAAGTACAATTATTACTATACTTTATTACAGGCTGTGCAGATGTAGCCTGCGTGAGGAGTGGGTCTGAGGCAACTGTGATCCACATTTAAGTGAAATCTTCCCTATGCTTTTTTAGATTGTATATGCTTCTTGGAGACCATCAGAACTGTTTCACCATGTCAACCTTTCAACGTCTAATGAGCTACATAAATACAGTAAATTTGAGTTTTAAGAATCATAGCATTAGTACATAAAATGCACATGGAGCCTCATTTCTAAATGTCCATAATTTAATTCAAGAGGTAGGCTGGCATGGTGGCTCACACCTGTAATCTCAGCAATTTCAGATACTGAGGCAGGTGGGTTGCTTGAGGTCAGGAGTTCGAGACCAGCCTGGCCAACATGGTGAAACCCTGTCTCTACTAAAAACACAAAAAATTAGCTGGGCATGGTGGTGGGCCCTGTAATCCCAGTTACTCAGGAGGCTGAGGCAGGAGAATCGCTTGAACCCTGGGAGGCAGAGGTTGCGGTGAGCTGAGACTGCACGGCGCTCCAGCCTGGACAACAAGAGTGAACCTCTGTCTCATAAAAGAAAAGGTAGTTGTGGCTATTTGAGCATAATTATGTATATTTTATGCACAGGAATTATTTAAGCCATCTCAGTTTGGAAATTGAAAGTTACCTACTATTGTATGTAATGCCTCTATCGGCATGGTAAGGTTTTTGTTTTAAAGACATCTAAAATCTTGAGCATATCAGCTTCGTACACTACTGAAGTAACACATCTGATCCTTGTTTTAAATTTCACCAAAGTATGTCTCTGTTTCTTGAGAAAGCTGATGTCCTGCAGTCTATTTATTGCTTTCAGAACCTGGATTTTTCCATCAGGAGAGTGGGATACTTTTCTCTTCTTTTTTTTTTTTTTTTTTTTTGTTTCAGTAGATAAAGGGGGACTCCAAATGAGCAGTTACTACATGCAATTTTTGTTACAATATCTGATCTTGTCCACTCTTAATGAAATTTCATACATTTGGGGTTTTCTTAACTCATCTTCATATATATATATAGTAATTTCTGAACATTTGTTAGAATTCATCCAACTTTGCATGTAAACAATTAATAAAAAGGCTCTAACAGAATTTTAGCTGTGTGGTGGGGTATAAACCTTACTTTAAAGGAATCCAGTAAATAGATACTCAAGCTTTTAAAAGTAGATTACTTAGAGAATGATTATTCGAAGACTCACTGAAACTTTTTTCCAATGTTTCTTTCAGTAGCAAATTCTCTAAGGGCTTTGAAATCAGTGATTCAGCCAGCATGCATTGATTTCCTACCTTGTGCCAACTATTCTAATGAGCATGGGGTTAAAAAAGATGAGAAAGTCCCAGGATCTTCTCTCCTGAAGCTCAAGTTTAGTGGTTGAACAAACCCATAAACAAATAATAACAGTTGACACATTTAGACTCTATTTTGTCTCCAAAAGAACCTGAGTCACCAAATTAAAATTATTATAGAGTAACCACAACATTAGAAGTATAAACAAATCCCAGAAAGTAGCAAATATAATTCAATTTATACTCAGATGTACTAGAATTGGTGATGAATAAGAGTAGAATCCCTATACAGAACCCATAGATTGGAATTGCAGAATGTCAAATCATAACTTTGAATACATTTATATAACTAAATTATATAAATAAGCAAATATCTATCAATCAATAGTTGGCAGATAAGTTGTTTATGCTACTTTGTCATGTCTATTGCCAATCTGAAAGGTTGCTGCTTTATAGATGGCCACACAAATACCTATTTGAAGCAGCACTTCAAGTGGAAGGGGGTTGGGGGAGCCCAGAAAAAAAGTAATAAATTTGCCTGTGTCTTCTCTTTGTTTCCTCATCTAATCTAATTTTTGGTGATTAAAATCCTTTGAGAAATATTAGACTTCTAAATGAATAGCTAAATAAAGCATCGGCCCTGTAAAGATTTGCTGAAATCATTACACTGTAGTTTTAAAACATTAGACCCATGATTCAATCTATATGTAGGACTGAAAAACAAACTTGTTTTATGTTCCACCTACAGTTTCTAGAAAGTTGCAAGCTACTGTTACAGGCATGATTTATATAGGAACTTTAGTGGACATGGGTTTATGTTTGGCTAGAATCAGAATCTCTTTGGGAAAAGCAACGCTGCTGTCCTTGGTCCTGATACCCCTAGGTATGGGCATATAATTCAGGCCTGGCCACAGGAATTGAGTCAGGAATGAATTGAGTCAGGAATGACCACGTAATCCAAGTCAGTCCAATTAAGGTCATTGGCAAGGCCTTGGCTGAGCTACAAGGAAAGAGATGATAGCTTTAAGAATAATGTATGTCTAGAGATGCTGGTGGCCAGCCTCACCTCTACATTTGAAGACCCTACCTATGAATGAAGCTGGCTCAAAGAAAAGCAGACTCAGGAGACAGAACAAAAGACTCAGATCCTTCATGATGTTAGTTATACTTCTATATACAGCATGCTTGATGCCAGATTCTCCTCTTGAATTTCTTGGTCAACTAAGTCTTGATTAACTAGTTTACATGTATAGTGACTACTCCATATCCATGGGTTTTGCATCCTTGGGTTCCACCAACTATGGATCAAAAATAGTTGAAAAAAAAAGGAATGGTTTCATCTGTACTGAACATGTACAGATTTTTTTGTCCTGTCATTCCCTAACCAATACAACAACTATTTACATAGCATTTGCATTGTATTAGGCATTATAAGTAACCTAGAAACTATTTAAAATATAAAGGAAGATTTGCATGGGTTATATGCAAACACTACACCATTTTATATGAGGGACTCGAGCATCCATGAATTTCAGTACCAGTGTGGAGTCCTAGAATCAATCCCCCATGGATACTGAAGGACGAATGTATATATTGTGTACACATACAAAGTGTGTGTATGTGTGTGTGTGTGTGTATTTTGACTTGGATTTTGGCATCTACAACCCAGAGTTCTGATTAACACAGTGCTCAACAAATATGAGTTCCCTCCCCCTCTCTTCCTTCCCCCCTAATTTCTTCATGTCTGACTTAGAAGACTGCCAAAATTGGTACATTAGACTATATAGACTTTTTAACTGTAGACTATTAGATTATACAACAAATGAATTTATGTGAGAGAGAAAATTGCTTAAAAGGAAGAATAAATATTATTGCATCTGAACATCATTTTTTAAAATTACTAATTTTATGTCTGATTTGTCATTTCGAGGTAGAAAAATCCCAATTTCTCTTTGACTAAAAGATAAAGTGACATGAATTTTAAAAAAAGAACTCATTGTGGCACAAGAAGACAGAAGAATACAAGCTTCACAAGCCTAATTCTAGAAACTCCCAGGAATATTCAAGAGAGCATACACTATAGCAGGGGTCCCCAACCTCCAGGTCACGGACTGGTACTGGTCTGTGGCCTGTTAGGAACCAGGCTGCACAGCAGGAGGTGAGCTGCAGGGGAATGAGCATTACTGCCTGAGCTCCATCTGCCTCCTGTCAAATCAGCAGTGGCATTAGATTCTCATAGGAATACAAACCCTATTGTGAACTGTGCATGCGAGGGATCCAGGTTGCACGCTCCTTATGAGAATCTAACTAATGCCTGATGATCTGAGGTGGAACAGTTTCATCCTGAAACCATCCCCCACCAGCCAGTCTATGGAAAAATTGTCTTCCACACAACCGGTCCCTGGTGCCAAAAAGATCGGGAGCTGCTGCACTTCAGTATATGTCAGTATTTAATGAAAGCTCTTACCTTACTGAAAGACCTAATTCCAAGAAGATTTATCCATTTTTTTAATCCCTCTGTAGTTTGAAAAGTAAACGTGTGATATCTCACTCTATTCTTCAGAATAAATAAATAAATAAATACCTTAATGCCGTTTTCTTGCTAAACTTAATAGTGGATTAGCTAGACCATGTACAAAATAAGAGACGTCAGAGGGAAGAAAACTGGAATGGTCTTAGTTCTCACAGAATATTCTAAGGAGAAAATACAAAATTGTTTGTTTTTCTATTGATGTTTCCCCAGTGAAAAGCAATGGGTAAAAATTAGGGAACAGGTTATGTTGATGAAAGCCTGCACCCTCATGTCATCAACACTTTAGAGGAAATTAAAAGAAAAAGCACCTCTTTATTTTTGGCCCAGGTGGGCTTTGAGGAGTACTATGTAAAATAAAGCAAATTACTCAAACCCCAAATTACTTTTCAAACCCCTCTCCTTTCCATGACGTCCCTCTTGAAAAGGAATTGTGTGCTTTTCCAAGAGCATGCAACATATATTTGTTTGTATCTAATCAAGTCATTTATCTTCACTTAGTTTTATAACTCCTGTAGGTGCAGTCAACATATCTTATAAACCTACTCACAGTGAAAGCAGAAGAATGCCTATGCAGTCCTAGGATTTGGCACAGGCAATCTAAGCTTTAAATTATGGTATTGGTATCCCAATTAAAGCCAAGATGTGCTTCCAAACACCCTTGGACAAGTAAGCAAATACATGTAATGTCACCTCCTTTCTTAGCTAATTCTTATCCTTTATTTATGTCACTTACTCAGTATGTTTTCTACTTTTTCTTCTTTTTTTAATTGCTACATAAACCATCAGAAAAGACCATGCACAGCCAACCTGCTGCCCAAGCGAAATCTCTGTTTAATATTTCAGTGTTTCCAAAAATGATGTGCCACTGGCTTGGCTCTGCCTGTAATATTGTTTTCAATTTCCATCTGCCTTGGGCATCTTCCTCCTGCCACGTATCCATATGAGCCTAACTGCATCACATGCAGTGCTGGATGCTAGAAATGCCCTGATACCAAAACGTGATACAAGGATAATCTGCTTTTTCCCTTATAATTAAATGAGAAAACTGTGGGTATACTGTCTCCTACTTGGCCCCATCACAAATGCATCCAACAGATGCCACCACACATGACCCAAGTTAAGTACAAAGGAATGATGTAAATATGCCCCTTAAAAAAATTTCACCGAGGACTGAAACCCCATGAGGTTGGTTACCTTGTGAAGGAAAGCAGGTGTTCAGGTAAAAGGAAGGGCATAGCAATATCCAAGTTAACCAGCATTTTGTGGCCTCTGTACAAAGCCAAGTTACACACTTGCCTCATGCTTTAACACACCTGTCATCTCCTATTGTGAGCTATCCAGGCTCTGAGTTGGTGACAAATTAGGATTAAACCCACCGACAACTATTCACTCCATGCCCATCAGCGTGTGCTCTGAAAAGCCCTCAGACCCCTTCAGACTCTTTAGCAGCAGCCATTGTTTCCTTCGGTAACTGCTACCTTCCAGCAAACAGCATTCAGAAAGACAGCCCATCTGAGAACACATGCTTTCATCTCTGCACTCCCTTGCTGCTAACAAGCTTCCCTATAATAATCATATAAAATCTAACTATGTACATTGGAAAAAAAGGCATTTTGTTAAAACCAAACCAAGCAGTGCAGATGAGGTCTGCAGCATAAATTAGAGCCACGAGGATACTGTGGATAAATTACTGATGATTCTGGTTACAAAGTGTAATCGTTTGGCTTAAGAGGATTAAGCACAACAAGAAATCTTGAATTTTACAACTTTACCCCCAAATTCAGTCCAAGGTCAGGCTTTTGGTCTTGATTTTACTGATTTATCTTTAATATTATCATCTAACCTCTCTAAAATTATATTTTTTCCTAGAGTTGATCCATATACCAAATAATCATTTAATACTGCATTATTCTCCAGACATTTTATGCTTAGGCTTGGCATGAGATACTGAAAAATGGTCAGAAGATATTGGGCAGCTGCTAACAATTTTTTGATATGTACGTGTTCCCTCTAAAAGAAAGCCTCAAATTTTCAAGTGTGAGTTCACATTTTCAGGCAATTTATGTGGCCTTTAATATCTTGAGTAACAATGTAATTATATAATAATTAGCCAGACCCACCTCTCCTCATAAATTTTGTCTGAATCTATTTTGGGTTGCTATAAAGCAATATCTGTGGTTAGGTAATTTACAAGGAAAAGAGGTATACTTGGGCTCTGCAGGCTGTACAAGGAGTGTACCACTGGCATCTGCTTCTGGGAGGGCCTCAGGAAGCTTCCAATCATAGCAGAAGGCGAAGGGGGAGCAGGCCATCACATGGCAAGAGAGGGAGTGAGGAAGGGAAGGTGTAACAGGCTTTTTTAAACAACCAGCT
Source organism: Homo sapiens (assembly GCF_000001405.40). NCBI lineage: Eukaryota > Metazoa > Chordata > Mammalia > Primates > Hominidae > Homo > Homo sapiens. The sequence continues at coordinate 152,946,304 of NC_000002.12, read as the reverse complement.
CTCACCTGAATTAATAAAGCAATAACTCACTCATTAATCCAAGGAGGGCACCAAGCCATTCATAAAGGATCCTCCACCATGACCCAAATACCTCCCACCAGGCCCCACCTCCAAAATTGGGATCACATTTCAACACAAGATTTGCAGGGAACAAATATCTAAAATATATCAAAAGTAAATCTTATTTCTCTAAAAATTTTCTGTCATCTGCTGTGGGTTCCCATGTGGTTCCCCACTTCCTGTCCCCTACTAAATAATCCTAAAGAAAGAAAAAAGAAAGAAGCAAGTCATAACTGTCTTCTACATTTTGGTGCTGTATGGCATTTCCATTTCTCTTTAGTTCCCATTCCCTGCCTTTCTTCAGCCTTTAGCATTTATGTTAATGCCCATCTGGTTTATGGACCTCACAATATGTATTTCCTCTAGGCTTTGATGGCCTCCTTCACAAACCAGCCACAAACACCTCTGAACATCCTCATCATAAAGCCCATCATGAAGCCTATAAAGGCCCACAAGACTGTAAGTTCCATGAGAGCAGAAGCTGTATCTTACTCATTTTTGTACTGCCCACTGCATCTGGCAAAATGACCATCACATAATACACCACTAAGTTTCAAAAAATATTTTTGACTTGAAGGTAATATATCTGAGATCCTTACCTTAGCATTCTCTCCTTCCTGATCACAATCTGGCCATTTGTCTTTCTTCTCCCCTCCAATCACATCAGCACTTGGTTCTTATAAAAACTTTTTTTCTTCATCTTTTTTTTTTTTTTTGGAGACAGAGTCTCACTTTGTCACCCAGGATGGAATGCAGTGGCATGATCTTGGCTCACTGCAACCTCTGCTTCCTGGGTTCAAGTGATTCTCGTGCCTCAGCCTCCTGAGTAGCTGTGGTTATAGGCACGCACCACCACACCCGGCTATTATATTTTTAGCAGAGATATGGTTTCACCATGTTGGCCAGGCCGGTCTCAAGCTCCTGACCTCAAGTGACACACCTACCTCGACCTCCCAAAGTGCTGGGATTACAGGCATGAGCCACTGCACCCAACCTGTATAAAGACCCGTAATCACCAAGTCTTTTACATTTCTTCCAGTCTATCATGATCCCATCTCTACTGGCAATATAATCCCAACGCAGTCCTGGCTGGTATCAAGCCACTTCCCTGCCAGCTCCATCACCACCATCAAAAGCTTCACTCTGTGGCTTATTGGAGAACCCATCACCAAATTAGTTTCCCTTATAGACATACCCTTCCAATCCACTTTCTGTTGCTAGGCTTATTAGGATATATAGAGAAAGGTATGGAAATGGCCCAGTGTAGTCTCATATTGGAGAACATCCAACAGACCTACTTGCTATTCACTATCCATCTCTCATCAACTCTTAGCTTACTCCTAGAAATTTCTCAGGAAGTTTTATTTTTAAGCCCCTAGCTCTTCACACTTCAAACATGTCAGATTTGTTAGTGTTCTACTTCAAGAGGCTGATGTCACATGTAAACTATATAAAATGGATGTTATACATCAATGAAACACATTCCATGCTGTTACAAAGAGAATAAAGGTTTAAATTTCTCACTGTTTATTAATGTGACAATCCAGTGAAACTTATTTTTGGTAAGAAGGGTTTAGTTATGTAATAAACCCATCCTTTGGTATGTGAATTTATTCCCAACAAATAATTGATCTGAGAAGTTGAACAACTTTGTTACTTTCACTAAAAAAAAAAGGTGTTGACGTATACTGTTATCTATCAAGAGGTGAGACCACCATTCAAACTCTGAAACAAAAATAAAAGCTGCAAAGATTAATTTATTGTTCTCCTTAAGAATGGAGAGCATTACTGATTGGGCAAAGTCTCACAGAACTAAGCAAACTGCTGATATTACATAGAATTTTAATAAAGGAGGATTGGAGAGCAGGGACATTGTGTTAGTTACAGAGGCAATCTGTAACTACATCAATCTTAGAAGGTGACTCATGTTGGATAAAGAAACATGCTCATGTTAGTTATAAAAGCAGGAGTTGGTTGACATCACCCTCAGATGCAAGCTCACTGGAATGAACCTATACTGATTGCTTAGGTCTCCAGAAGCATTCTTCGTGATTGTCAGAGTCTACTTAATTTTAATCTGA